>NC_000001.11:213033071-213184587 GCF_000001405.40 Homo sapiens | reverse complement strand
TTAATGATGTACTTCAAGGATCTAGAAAGTAAGAACAAACCAAACCTCAAATTTGTAGAAGAAAATAAAGATCAGAGGGGAAATAAATCAAATTGAGGCAAAAAAAAAATACAAGATCAATGAAATGAAAAGTTGGTTTTCTTGAAAAGATAAATATGAATTTAATGAAATTAATGAATTTAAATGAATTTAAATAATAAATTCATGGTATAGAATTAATTTTAGATTTTGTTGCTATTTTCTAATATTTTGTTGAAGGTTTCTATACCTACACTTATGAGAATATTGGTCTATAGTTTTCTTTCTTCTAATGTCTTGATATCAGAGTAATACTGGTCTCATAAAATGAACTGGAAACTGTTTCTCTTTCTTCCATTTTCAGGAAGAAAATGTGTAAAACTGGTGTTGACTCTAAAAGTATGGTAGAATTCTCTGGTGAAACTATTTGAGCCTCAAGATTTCATCTTAGTAGTATTTTAATTATAAATTCAGTTCCCTTAATAGTTAAAGAGCCATTCAAATTATCTATTTATTTTGGGTGGTAATTCGTACTTTTCTATGAATTGGTCCATTCCATCTAAATTATCAAATTTACATGTGTAGGGCTGTTTGTAGTATTCCCTTGTTATCCTTTTGATGTAGGCAAGATCCATACCTGTTTCATTCCTGACAGTAATAATTGGTGTATTCTCTTTTTTGTCTCTCTTGTTAGAGGTTTATCAATTTTATTGATCTTTGAAAAGAACCAGCTTTACGCAAAAATTTTTGTCTACGGTTTTTTATTTTCAATTTCATTGCTTCCTGCTCTTTACATTCCTCCTGCTTGCTTTAGGTTTATTTTGTTCTTTTTCTAGTTCTTTTGAGTTAGGAACCTAGATTTGACTGTTCCTGTTTTCTGATATAATCATTTAGTGTTATAAGTTTCTCTCTGAACACTGGCTTAGCTGTGTCCCATAAATTCTGGTATGTTCTGCTTTTGTTTTCATTCAACTATATGCATTTTTTTTTAATACCCTTTGAGATTCTTCTTCAACCCATGAATTACTTAGTAGTATAACTGTTTGTTTCTAGGTATTTGGCGAGTTTCCTGTTATCTTTCTGTTACTGATTAATAATTTGATTCAGACATGGTCAGAGAACACACTCAGTATGATTTCAATACTTCCAAATTTGTTGAGGTTTTTCGGCCCTAGAAATGGTCTGTTCCATGGGCACTGCAAAAGAATGTGTAGTCTGCTGTTCTTAGGTAGAGTGTTCTATAAAAGTCAGTTACATTTTGTTGGTTGATGGTATTATGGAGTTCTTCTGTATTGTTGCTGATTTTCTGTCTAACCGTTTTATCAGTTTTTGAGACAGTTGAAGTCTCCACCTGTAACTGCCTATTTCTCCTTTCACTTTCTATCAGCTTTTGCTTCATATATTTTACAGTTCTGATGTCTGGTATATACATTTGTAGGATTGCTATTTCTTCTTGGTAGATTGTCCTTTTATCATTATCTAATGTCCTCTCTGTCTCTCATAATTTTCTTTGGTATGAAGCATATTTTATCTTGTATTAATATAGCCACTCCTGTTTTCTTTAATGTTTGCATGACATGTCATTTCCATCCTTTTACTTTTTACATATATATATATCATGATATATAAGAAACTTCAAACATGATATATATCATGATATATATATGATATATACGTCATATATATGCATCATATATGATATATATACATATATATCATGATATATAAATCATGATATATAAGAAACTCACTTCAAACATGTGATATATAAAATATATATATCATATATATCGATATATATGTATCATGATATATGTATATATATCATATATATATCTCATTATATTATGTTTGAAGTGAGTTTCTTATAAACACCATAAAGTTGGGTCATATCTTTAAACCAATATCAATCTCTGTTTTTTTAACTGGTATATTTATAATGTGTTAGGGCTTAAGTTTGCATGTTATATTTTGCGTTCTGTTTGTTCTCTCTGTTTCCATTTTCCTGAATTTTTGTGGGTTATTTGAACATTTTTTAGAATTCCATTTTGGTTTATCTACAGTATTTTTTGTTTGTTTGAGATGGAGTCTCACTCTGTTGCTCAGGCTGGAGTGCGGTGGCATGATCTCATTTCACTATAACCTTTGCCTCCCAGATTTAAGCGATTCTCATGCCTCAGCCTCCTGAGTAGCTGGGACTACAGTCGTGCACCACCATGCTGGTTAATTTTTGTATTTTTAGTAGAGACAGGTTTTCACCATGTTGGCCAGGCTGGTCTCAAATTCCTGACCTCAGGTGATCCACCCACCTCAGTTTCCCAAAGTGCTGGAATTACAGATGTGAGCCACTGCACCCAACCTATATAGCATTTTTTAGTGTATACTTTAAAAAGCTTTTTAGTGGTTGCTCTAGTTATATTATATATACATAACTCATGCAAACTACTGGTGTCATCATTTTACCATTTCAAGCTAAGCATAAAAACTTTACCTTCCTTTATGTCCCTTTACTCTCCCTCATTTATAATTGCCTTAAATATTTTCTCTGCATAAACTTAGAACTACATCAGAGAGTGTTAGAATTTTTGCTTCAACCATAAAAGATAATTTCCAAAACTAAAGAGAAAGAAAGTCCATTGTATTTACTTGTATTTTACCCTCTCCAATGTTCTTTCTTTCTTCCTAACGTGACAAGATTCTTGCATGTATTGTTTCCACTTTGTTTAGAGAATGCACTTTATTCTTTTAGGGTAGGCTGGTCAGCAACAAATTCTCTTTGCATTTCTTCATCTGAGAATACCTTTATTTTCCCTTAACTCTTGAAAGGTATTTTCACAGGATATAGAATTCTGGTTGATAGTTCTTTCCTTTTAGCACTTAAAAAATGTTGTGCTATGTCCTTTTGATTTAATCCAGTTCAATCCAGTGTTCCCTTAATGAGCAAATACCTGAATATTGATGCTTCTGTGTTCCAAATACATGTTTTTCCACATATTATCAGAGAAGATATTACTTAGGTACCTTAAAAAATAAGTACCAGTTTTTCAACAGCTACTCAATTTGAGCAATTTCCACACATTTTCTCAATTATATTTTAGCTACAGAATAGAAATGCCTACATTTTTCCAATGGCAAGTCAACTTAAGAATTCTGCCTGGCAGGCATCAGATAAAGTTGGGAAGCTATCTTGATTACAAAATGTGAAGGCATCTGACCTAGTAAATAGTCATAGACTTACAAAGTGTGTGGCATCTCTTATAACGATGACTTGCAAAGCATATTTAAGTTGTTTTTCAGTGACAATAAATTTGGGCGATCCAGATATACGATCTTCACCGATCTTCCTTGTGAATACCATACACACATGTACACACAGAATGACTCAGGCTACTCACAAACCAGAAGAGTTAACTGGCCATGAGGGAATCAAATCTTAGTATACTCTGGGTTTCAAGTCATCAATGTTCCCCTTACCCTTTTCTTGTTTTAACTCACAGGAGGCTGCAGTACAAAGAGTCTCATGTACCCTTCACCCAGCTTCCCCCAGTGGTGACACCTTATATAGTTCTAATTCAATATCAAAACCAGGAAAGTAACATTGGTACGTTACTGTATACTAAACTATGGGCTCCTTTATACTTTTTATAGAGAAGTTATACAACAGTGATCTTTCTCAGAAACTCTCTTAGCACTTGGGCATTCTACTACCAAACTACCAATCTAGACTCTTCTAACCCAATTACAAATTACCATATATAAACAATCTTTATACACATACAAATATAAGCACATCCCGTATATTCGTACCACACAAATACAACAAAAAGAATTGCACCCATGTCTATAAAAACTTATATTAAAATAATAGTAATGCATCCTCCTCATCCCATCAGAGTTTTTTTTCCGCTAATTTCTTCTCTCCCCTGCTATTGCTACACAAAGACTATGTAAATAAACCTGCAGGATCAAAGAAATAATTAAAAGTTATCTAATGTAAAATTCCATCCAGTTCATTCTATAGCATCCCAATGATCAATCTTTCAGCCTTCACTTGAATGTCTCAAATGACAAGAAACTCTTAAGATCTAAAGGAATCTAGCACACCTTTGGTCAATATGCTAATTCTCAAAAGGTATTTCTTATCATGAGCAATAATTTGTTTCTCTTGAATTTGTACTAATTTGGTTCTAGTTATATCCTATGAGGATATTAGCATGCAAGTCTCTTCCCTAACTACCTTTTTCACAGAGAAACCAGACTTCCTGGTTTAACTGAGATGATTTTAGTTTGCACTTGTTGTTCTGACACAATTAATAGCCCTTTTCACCCTCAAGATTAGAGAAAACATTATACAGTTCCCCTATTCAAGACAGCCCTCAACTATTTGAAGACTACACATTTTTTTTTAATCAGGTTAAACATTTCCTTGTTTTCTGGCTATTCTTCATATACAATTTTTGCATATCTATGTTAATGAGGGATTTTATAATCCCAATTGAAGAACAGAAAGTCATTTACTTCTCTTTGAATACTAAATCAACATACAGCTATGGAATTACTATCCCTCTGGGTAAACACTTTCTGAGTTGTCACCTCATACAATCGTACCAGGTAGCAGTCTCATATTGTACCAGTAGATGTCATTCTATATATATTTAAAATTAATTAAGTTTCAATTCATTTATTCAACAAATATTTATTGAGCACCCATTATGTGCCAAGCGATTCTAGGTACTGAGAACATAGTGGTGACCAAGAAAGACACAATTTTGTTTTCACAGAGCTTACAGTCTAGATATTAATAAAAAATCTGCTTTATTTTTTTCTACATAAAAGTTTGTGAAATCCTAATCCTAATGCAGTTCAATTCAGAACTGTATTTTTCCTAGGTTAATAGATAGCACTCAAAATAACTCATAAAAACCAAATACTGTAATGAAACAGAATCAAAGAAACTGTGTTCTGTAGGACTAGATCAATATATCCTGGCTATTTTCTAACCTTTTGAATTTATTCAACATTTATTTTCCATACTTCAAGTTTCTAAAACCCAAATTTTAGGTAGTCCTCAGTACAACAGAAAGTAACTTATCTTTAAAAAACAGTTCAACTTTCAAAAAATGTACCTGCTTTTTTTTTTTTTCCTCTTTTTTTTGAGACAGGGTCTGGCTCTGTTGCCCAGGCTGGAATGCAGTGGTGCAATCTTGGCTCGCTGCAACCTCCACCTCCCGGGTTCACACAATTCTCCTGCCTCAGCCTCCCGAGTAGCTGGGATTACAGGCGCCCACCGCAATGCCCAGCTAATTTCTGTATTTCTAGTAGAGATGGGGTTTCCCCATATTGGCTAGGCTAGTCTTGAACTCCTGACCTCAGGTGATCTGCCCGCCTCGGCCTCCCAAAGTGCTGGGATTACAGGCATGAGCCACAGCTCCCGGCCTATACCTACTTATGTTTTCACAGGAATATGTTATAAATTTTAAAGACTTATTAATTCCCAAAGCTTCTTAATTCCCCAAATACATATTCCCTTATCTCTACTAAGAAAAGTTAGGCCAGGCACCATGGCTCACACCTGTAATCCCAGCACTTTCAGAGGCCGAGGCGAGTGGATCATCTGAGGTCAGGAGTTCGAAACCAGCCTGGCCAACATGGTGCAACCCTGTCTCTACTAAAAATACAAAAAACTATTAGCCAGGCATGGTGGTGTGTGCCTATAAATCCCAGCTACTCAGGAGGCTGAGACAGAAGAATTGTTTGAACCCACGAGGCGGAGGCTGCAGTGAGCCAAGATTGTGCCATTGCACTCCAGCCTGGGCAACAGAATGAGATTCTGTCAATTAAAAAAAAAAAAGTTAAATGTCACCTTCTAAACACCAAACATTTTTCCCAGCTAAACAGAGTAAGTAAAGACAGTACCAAATTATCCCTCAGCAGAACTTAGGAATTCTTCTACTGTCAAAAGTCCTTCTATTTTCTTTCTTTCTTTCCTGTTTTGTTGTGTTTTTTTTTGTTTGTTTGTTTGTTTTTTTGAGACAGAGTCTCAGTCTGTCGCCCAGGCTGCAGTACAGTGGCACAATCTCGGCTCATTGTAACCTCTGCCTCCCAGGTTCAAGTGATTCTCCTGCCTCAGCCTCCAGAGGAGCTGAGATTACAGGTGTGTGCCACCATGCCCAGGTAATTTTTTGTATTTTTGGTAGAGACGGGGTTTCACCATGTTGCCCAGGCTGGTCTCGAACTCCTGGTCTCAAGTGATCCACTGGCCTCGGCCTCCCAGAGTGCTGAGATTACAGGCATGAGCCACCACACCCAGCATTTTTCCTTTTTTTTTAAAGACTTGATATTTATTTATTTATTTATTTATTTATTTATTTATTTATTTATTTTGAGACAGAGTCTCACTCTGTCACCCAGGCTGGAGTGCAGAGGCATGACCACGGCTCACGGCAGCCTCAAACTCCCCAGGCTCAGGGGATCCTTTCCCCTCAGCCTCCCGAGCAGCTGGGACTACATGCCCAGCTTTTTCTTTTTTTGTAGACGCAGGGTCTCACCATGTTGCCCAGATAGTCTCAAACTCCTAGGCTCAAGTGATCTGCCCACCTCGGCCTCCCAAAGTGCTGGGATTACAGGTGCAAACTACAGCACCCAGCCAAAAGCCCTTATTTAAACAAACCTGTGAGACTACTAGCTATTACTAGGACTTCAAGGTAACTTACTCACACTTATAGCATAGCAATGAAAGGCCATACTTTGTCAAAGAAATAGATCTAAGAGAGGGGGCAGACACTGTACCTCAAGAAGGTATACTTGCCTGCAAAGAAATCTGAGAACCTAGAAACTACTCAATTACTATATTGTCTTCATCTACTCTCAAACTGAATGTTTTCCAAACTGGAAAAGCCACAGAAAACACGGTTATGAAAATATTTCAGGCTCTTAAAAAAAGAAAAATCCTACTACTTAGAATTTTTTAAGTTCAAAATTCAGTAATATGAATTTGAGAAAAATGATCCTTGCCAGAACTTAAGACACCGACAGCTTTATGTAATATCCAACTTAATGTTCCCTTTGGAATGCTTCAAACTTTTACTGTCTAAATTGCTAGAGAATACTACATATTGCTCAATTTTAGGATGGAATCACACGCATACTTCACAAATAATGTATAGTAAGTTAAAAATGAACATTAAGGTGCTTCATAAAAAATGGTTAATGGTGAAAAAATATCTAAATTAACCTATCCCTTAATATTAAATAAAGCATTTTATTTACTTTGAATGGTAAAGCGGTGGTTGAGCAAATATACTTAAAACATGGTTTGTTGTCTGTGGCTTTTAAATTACACTTGTAAACCATCTGATAGGAACAGTACTGTTAATATTTGGCGTGAGATGTCACCAAATTTGCACATACACAATGGCAGATAACTCTGTGAGGCCAGTATTTTTACCCCTAAAATTAAAATGCATGTGGGTGTGAAGTGAGGGGTTAGTGTACTAGAAAAAGTACAGCTTTTGAGTCAAAAAAAGTAATGTTCAAATCCCAGCACCATCCTAAATTAGCTATGTGACTTTGGGCCAAGTTATTTAATCTGCTCTAAACATCACTTTTCCACCAAGATGCAAATACAATTGTAAGAAAGATTGTATCATATAAAATGCCTAACATAGGGTCCGACATATAGTAGGTGCTCAGTAAATGGTAATTACAAGGGGATTCCACTTTTTTGACCATTACAATGACCGTATTAATTAATGTTGAACAACTACTGGCTCACAATTGTTATTAACACAATACATCTTTACTCTGCTATAACACTTCTATAAAACCAAACCCCTTACTCAACTGAATGCCAACAAATATGCGCCTTCTCCTTTAGCTCAAATATATTTTGCATGACCTTACATGAATTGCTCAGATAAAAGCTTTTTCTCTTTTGCTTTTGTTATTGTAAAGTGCACATGCATTTGAGTCATTTTCTCCTTTTGTTTCATATCCTTAAGATCCAAAGCTTCAAAGACAGAATGTCAGCATGCAGTCGATTTATGACTGAACTCTTGAAGAGACACTGAAGAATTACCTTGTCAATCACCCCAAGGACTCTGAAGGCCTTCAGCTCCTCGGCAGGGCTCCTTAGGTTCCAAAGGGGCCTTGAACTTAGTGATCCTGGAGGCTAATGGAAGATATCAAAGATTATACATCAATCAGGGAGGTACTTGAAGGAAGGCTGCCTGCTGAAGCAAATGCCAGGCCAAAGGAAAGTAAATTCATCATAAATCAGAGAATGGAAAGATGAAAGGAAGAAGTTTCTGTTTGTCTGTAATATAAAATTTTTAAAAATAAAAACTAAAGAAAATCAAAAAGAAAAAGCAAGAAAAAAGTTGCAAGTAAATAAATCATAACATTGAAAAAATTTTAAAAAGAAAAATTAATGAGCTGGCAGTTTCTAGAGCAATAATTCAATTCAGACCATACAGCTATCATAAAACTTTGTAACAAATGGATAACTGGGCCAACAATCAATCCCAGTCTTATATTTAACCCAGACACCTCAAGAGTAATTTGGAAGTGGGGGAACTAAAAAACAATATAATAATAAGCACACATGGGGAGGGAGGGGCACAAGCCATTCTCTCTCATCATAAAGCTACAGTTCTATAATTGTTACTTTATGTATTATGTGTTTTCAGAGGGACTGGTCCATTCAAATTCAACCAGAAAAATTACCAATAATTGTGAAAAATTAAGAAGCTTCATCATATAACCAATAATTACTAAAACTGAGCCTGTTTAAGAGATGATTTGTAAGAGAAAGAAATTTTTCTTCAAATATTTGAATATCTGTGATGTGGAAAACAGTCTGTTAGCTACAAAAAAGATTTAAAAAATCAGTGAACATAGGAAGGAAGATTTAAATTCTGCACACAATTTTAAAATAATCCCAACTTCCATTTATTAGTTTTAGTTTTTCCCTATCAGTAATATAAGCCATTAAATTAGATAAATTCTAAGGGCACCTCCATACGACATTTACAACTATAAAGTACTGCTACATTGATCCTGTATTAAAATGGTGATGCTGCAAAGGACAACAGGAGACACAAAGCCTTATTACTTACTTAGAGCAGACCTTATTGCTATCAAAAATCTATTAGAATACAGCGGAAACATTCTGACCCTATGAATGGAAGATAAAATATCCTGATCAAACACCATGGTAAGGGAATTATTGAGATACCATTTTTGATACTTGAAGTTCCTGTACAGACCAACATCACCAGACAGGCAGCTCCTTGAGAATAGAAATGTGCCTTAGTCATGTCTATATTCACAGTGCCTAGCATATTGCTAGTATTTAGTTAGTTGGAAAATGTGAGGGAGAGCAGAAATGAGGAGAGGAGAGAGAAAGGAGGGAATCTAGGGAGGGAGGTTACTTGGAAAATTAGGTGTCATTTACAACTGGGAAAACTACCATTTGTGAATTTTTCTAAAAGCAGCAATTCTAATTCTTTTCAATTTTTTTGTTTTGTTTTCAGATTTAGCAAGCAAATAATAATTTAACTGTACCTGAAATGATGTTTAAGTTTTAAAAGAGACTTTTTATTTCTAAAGATGCTTGAGAAAGTTGGTGATAGTGACAATTAGACTAGATAATAACCTTTAAATTGATTTAATTTATGCTTCTTAGATACATTTCAAAAATATTTATTTAATGTCTCAATTCATGAGGTGCTGAGCTAGGTACCATAAAAAAAACGGATATATTTCTGCCTCCCTATAAGCTTAAAAACTAAGGGGAACCTTTTTAGGGATATAAAAACATTTAGCAAGATATTTTAGTGTTATAATATGTAAACAGACATGTAATAGCAATAACCTCTTTTTTTTTTTTTTTTTTTTTTGAGATGGAGTTTCGCTCTTGTCGCCCAGGCTGGAGTGCAGCGGCTCAATCTTGGCTCACTGCAACCTCTGCCTCCCGGGTTCAAGCAATTCTCCTGCCTCAGCCTCCTGAGTAGCTGGGATTATAGGCGCCTACCACCATGCCCAGCTAATTTCTGTATTCTTAGTAGAGACGGAGTTTCATCATGTTGGCGAGGCTGGTTTCGAACTCCTGACCTCAGGTGATCCACCCACCTCGTCCTCCGAAAGTGCTGGGACTGAAGGCATAAGCCAGCACACCCGGCCAGTAGAAACAGTCTTTTCTATCTTCATTTATATTGTTTCATCTCTATTCTTCACCCCATACCAGGTGATGTACTTACAGGAAGTTGGTATTATATAATTCCCATTTTACAGATGAATAAAGGGATTCTCAGAATGCTGGAGTGTTTGTCTGTGGTCAGGAAGAGAGACAGTGGAAGAACTCCAACTACTATTCTAAAGCTTGCAATCCTTTTACTAACCAACACATTCTGAAAATTAAAAATTCTTTTCTGCTGCTGCCTCTTGCTACAAGAACAAGTAAGAACTGCTTGTGATTTTGGCAAAAGGAATGCTAAGGAAAAGTCATAAGGAGGGAAAAAAGAATACTTTAAATGATATTTAATCCATTACATTTGTCTTAGAAAATATGGCCAAGTATCTCCAACATCCCTATCTCCTATTTATACCTCCTTATTCACAGATGTCACTGTTTCTTTCAGTTTCCAAAGAAAGTTATTTGTTCACTTTGGCAATTTAAAGAGCAAAGAAAGCAAACTATGAAATCTCTATTGCATCTTTCAACAAATAATTACTGTGCACCCACTATGTGCATGATAACTGAAAGGGCTATAAATTATCAAAAGGCTCAGTCTAACCTCAAGAAGTTCACCATTTGAGAAGATAAGACAAATACATGAACAGTTAAATAACAATAAAACACTCTCTTAAAAATACGGGACTACATAGATACATCATTAGTGTATGAAAAACTGTGGTCTCAGAAAGATGTGGGACTAAAGGTGATTTTAAATGTTATGTGGAAATTAGATTAGGAAAAAGTTATTCTATACTGTATACAATTGGAAAGCATTAGCCTGTTGGGGAAAAGTTGTTCAAATTGGAGAACAGAGGAAAATAAAATTATATACTTAGGGTCAGTTTTCACAGGCCTTGAATGCCGAGAAGAAAAGTCTTGACTATACAGTCTCCGAAGTCTAGACAACAAGTCTTTCTATGAGAAATAACCCAATGAAAACAGTGATTTAGTAAGGTTACTCTTGCAAAGACAGGAATGGGGAAATTGAAGGACAAATGACCAAAGGCAAAGTGATCATTAAAGTTCTCTTTTTACTTTAACCATCTATAAAAGTTTGAGATCACAGAAACGAACAAAGAAAGACCATGAAATAAAATCATCAATAAAAAAATTGTATTTCTCATATGTAGTGCTTAAATTGGGTAGAATCCTATAGATCTACTCCTTTCTTCAGATGGCAAAAGGACATACAAATCCACAGAATTTTAAGAGCAGAAAGAGACCTTAGAGATCAAGTCCAACTTTTTTTTTTAGATGAGAAAACTGAGACGCAGCAAGGTTAGCAAAAGTAGGTAATAGATAAGAGGGGATTAAATCTTACTTATGAAATAATAGAATGTTGTTAGGGGAAACTTGGCCCATTGCGCTATGAAGCGCGACGGGAGAAGCAATGTATTTCTAGGTAATATGATTGAGTTCCTTGATGGAAAAGTAAGATTTTCACTTACATTTATTAGCAATTATAGCAGAAGATGCTAAGAGAGGCAAAGAATGGTTGTATTCATCTATACCAGGACTAAAGACAAGGGAAGAGAGGCAGGAGTACATGATGACCCAACAATCTTCAAAAGCAGAGGTGGCAAGTACATATCACTCAACTGGTCAAGTCCACGGCAGGCATCTCTGTTAATCCCACAGTCTCACAACTCTTCTCAATACAATGCTCTTGGCAGCCACTACGCATGGATTAGAATTGGCACACTAGTTAAAACCTACTTACTATTGTTGTTCTCGCTCTGTCACCAAGGCTGGAGTGCAGTGACACGATCTCGGCTCACTGCAAGCTCGATCTCCCAGGCTCAAACGATAACCTTGTGCCTCAGCCTCCTGAGTAGCTGGGGTTACTGGCATGTGCCACCACACCTGGCTAATTTTTTTATTTTTTTATTTTTTGTATTTTTAGTAGAGATGCAGTTTCACCATGTTGGCCAGGCTGGTCTCGAACGCCTGGCCTCAAGTGATCCACCTGCCTCAGCCTTCCAAAGTGCTGGGATTACAGGCCTGTTGTACATTCTTTAAAAGGCTTTGTTTCTGTTTGGGGATTTGTTTTTGAAGTTGGTGTTCAGCCTGCCCACTGTCTTTTTCACTTGATATTATTTCCTGTTCTCAGTGAGATCTCTCTCTCTATTCTTCCCAATCTGTTGGTGCAGTACTTCTTAAATTTTATGTGCACCACCTGATGATCTTGTTAAAAAGAAGATACTGATTCAGTAGGTCTGATATTCTGCATTTCCACCTAGCTCTCAGGTGATGCTGATGCTGCTGTTTCACCAACCACATTTAGAATACGGTTACTTACTCCTCAAATAACCTGAGAGAGAGTAACCATTACTGCGGGAAAACAAGCAATCAAGGGCAAAAGGAAAGCACCACAAAGAATGTATCAAGAAACCACACTCTGAACTCTACTGTCTAATTATGACAAAGCTCCTGAATTTGGCTTCATCCATGAATTTTTGGCTTTGCAAAGACTTTCACGGGCAATCTACCAACCCTAATACCCCGTCTCCTGAGCCGCACTAGGTCACATTTCAAGCCTGACACTAAATTGCAGACCTATTACTGACTTAAGCAAATGTCTCACTGAGGGCAAATTTAAAATATTTTCTAAGGAATAATGGAATAATATCAATTAATAATACAAGTAAACAAAATGCACAATAGAAAAATACTTGCAATATTATATCAGTTGTACTCAAAATCTACAAATATTCAGGAAAGGCACACATTCTACATATTAATTTTCATTCACACCTTGTAACTGCATAAAAACATATTCACACTTTAGAAACTACACAAATATTTTATGTGCTAAATTTAGATCATTTATTGTCTTTTTCTAAATTTGATCTTTAGTTTCAAATTCCTATAGCTAAAAAAAGCAAAAAAACTATTCTAAATCTTTTCCAGGGAAAGCTTCTTTCAACATTAATTCTTAAATCATTCAACGTTGTCTAGGATTTATTTGAAAAAAAAAAAAGAAAGAAATCTGTCTCCTTCAGTTAAGATTCAACCTTTACTTTAAAAAAAACCTCATTTCCTTTTTATGTGAAACCTGCTCCTAAATTTTCTTGGAGCCTTTTAGTAATGAAGCAATGAAGAAAAAGAGTAAGAGAGTGCTTTTTTTCCTTTCTGTGCTTTTGCAAAAAGGATATTAACATGAATGACTGGGAAACTTAGAACTTTTATATTTATTATATAAAGATCTCTAAAGTTCAATACAAACACTTAAAACATCACAGAAAACCTGGGTGGAAGAAGTCATGATAGACTGTACCAAAGGAGAAAACAATAATTAACAAAAATTTAAAAAGCCAAAAAGGGTTCCTTTATTGTCTTAATCAACCAGGCTAGAAAGAAATGTTTGCACACTGATTCCAGAGAGAAATAATATCTGCTTTGCACCAAATTTGAGCTAAAGGGGCCTTAGAAATCATTTACACAAATCCTCTCATTGTGTTGGTTGAAATTCAGACCCAAAGATGGTTAAAGAAGTGAAATAATAAATGCACCAAGCTAATCACAATCCTCTGGAAGACTTTTAACTTAAATTATACATGAGAAAATAATCAAGGATGCTCTTGGCCAAAAAGGGCCAGGCTTAACAAAATAACATACAAAAGGAAAATTTAAAAAGCAAATGTTTACCATAAAAGAAAAATACTGTGCCTACTCTCCTCTAGCCTCCTTGCCTAAGAACCGAAAAAATCCTACATGTCAAATCAGATTCAGAAGGCACTCCTTTTTATCCTTTCTGATAGAATTTCCCATTAGGATGGCTCTTACCAGTGTAACTTTGTTTGCTCAACTATGTACATATACAGGTCCTCAACTATGCTACAGGATTTGCAAGAGCAGGCTGTGTCATCATCTTTTGTATAACTCCAAAGTATATCTAGTTTGATTCTATATACAGTCTTAAAAGATGCTTAATGAATTACTGTATAATCAAATGTAATCAGCTTTCCTATATTAGATCTCTTCTGTTTTATTCTCATTAGAAGTTATACTTGAAGAAATTCTGACTGATATACTTCATGGTTCTATTCTTCTAGTTAAAACTATACAGGAGGCTCAACATACTTATTTACCTAAGAAATTATTGCTTCATAGATATGCCTATAGGAAACTAACAGGGATGCAAAAGTAGGAGGATTACATGAATAAGTATAGGTAAACCATTCAAATTTAATGTTATAAGAATGAATAGAATACTGGTAATTTTAAATCCCTAAAACTTTTAGAATACTGGCCAGGCGTGGTGACTCATGCCTGTAATCACAAGCACTTTGCGAGGCAAAAGTGGGTGGATCACCTGAGGTCAGGAGTTCAAGACCAGCCTAGCCAACATGGCGAAACCCCATCTCTACTAAAAATACAAAAATTAGCCAGGCATAGTGGCATGCGCCTGTAGTCCCAGCTACTCGGGAGGCTGAGGCAGGAGAATCGCCTGAACCCGGGAAGCGGAGGTTACAGTGAGCTGAGATCGCGCCACTGCACTCCAGCCTGGGTGACAGAGCGAGACTCCATCTCAAAAAAAAAAAAAAAAAACTTAAAAATTTAAAAATTTAAAAAAACTTTTACAATATTTATATACAAGATGGATTTAGTAAAGCAAGTTCACAGGGAATTATGTTAATGCTTTCATCAATGCCCCCCCAAAATGAAATTGAGTATATACACATTAGTACTGCACACGAGGAAGGTTGTCAATCCCACGGAAAATGGGAATTGAATCAAAGTAATGTTTACATAAATATTCCACTTAAAAAGATAAAATTCAATGGTGAAAAAGTAAAGGAAATAAATTTAATATAATTAAAAGAACAATGATAGAGAATAGGATAAGATTAGCAAACAGAATACAGACTAAAAGAGTCGCAGTAATTCACAATCTGAAAATCAATCAGCAGAATAATGTCATTTAAAACACAATCATTATGTTAGATTATGTTAGAGCAACATAAGTATATATGGCTTGCAAGTTGAAACACAATCTTTTTGTTTTATAAGAAATGGTCAAACACTTAACATCAGAAATTCTCAGAATGTCTTACACTGATTAGTACAGTTTTGACAACTGCTATCTTATCATTTTCAAAAAGCATACAAAGCATAAAAATGTGTAGGAAAAAGTATATAAGCCGGTATATGAAGGGGAAATGAAGAATGAGGCTAAAACTTAGTCTTTGGCTTATGGGCTGATCTTCATGCTAGAGAGGCACTTGATTTATGTGTATATGTGTAATCCACAGAAATTTTTTTTTTTACTTCATTTAATCCTAGTAACTACCCAGCAAAAAATTACTATATTCTCATTATTCAGATATAGAAACTGACATGCAGAAGTGGGATTAAGTATCTTGTCCAATCTTCTATGACTTCAAGTGGCAGAGCTGGATATGAACAAGCCTGCCTGACTCTTAGATCAATTAAGAAAATAAACTATTTGGGAGGCTGAGGCGGGCAGATCATGAGGTCAGGAGATCGAGACCATCCTGGCTAACATGGTGAAACCCTGTCTCTACTAAAAATACAAAAAAGTTAGCCGGGCATGTGGTGGGTGCCTGTAGTCCCAGCTACTTGGGAGGCTGAGGCAGGAGAATGGCGTGAACCCGGGAGGCGGAGCTTGCAGTGAGCCTAGATCGTGCCACTGCACTCCAGTCTGGGGGACAGAGTGAGACTCCGTTTCAAAAAAAAAAGAAAAGAAAAGAAACTAAACCCTTTCTCCCATTTCCGGAAGACACAATTCTTAAATTGCATTTGATATAAAGAAAAAAAATAACAGAAAAGTTTCCTCCAGAAATTTGCCAAATCCAGGTCGATACAGCATAAAAACAATAATAACCTGCAATGTTTCTAATGTTTTCAGTATTCATCTGCGTTTTAGACAAGTCTAGCAGAAGTCCCAAATAACATAACTATCTCTGCTAGAATTATGCTTTTATAATTCCAGGTGACCAATAGCATATACTTGTATAACTTAGGCTTAAAATGAATAGTTTTAACATGAATCAATAAAACTGGAGAACAATTATACAAGAATCACAATCTAACTTTAAAATGTCCAAATACAAATAGATATCATAACAGTATAAATTACTGTCAATCTACAGATGAGGAGATTAAGGGTACAGTAAGAAACTAATAAAAGACCAAGAAAAGGAGAAAGCAAGTCTTATTTTATTCCACTTTTGGTGGTTTGCTATAATGCATTTCTTTCTACCAACAACCTTTATGAAAATCATTAATAAAATTCAAAAAATCAAAATCCTATAACATTCTAATTAGAAATAAAGCAGAGAGACCAGACAGCAAAAAATCACTGAAGAAAACACACAACAAAATATGAGACATACCTGAGATACATCATCAAGCTGAGGTTTCCCATAAAGACTAGAGATACTTTCTGCCCGCATGAGGTACTCGGCTGTTCTTCTCTTCACAGCTTCTCGACGGGTAGGGCTTGACTCTCCTAAAAAAAAAAGTCTGGACATGTAAAAAATAAATTTTCCTCAGTTCAACCTGAAAATTAACTTCCTTCTACCCAATACACTGCTTGTTCACATTTCTAACAAAAAAGAAGAGATATTCAAAATTGGAAAAGACATGAAAGTTATTAGTATCAACCAAGTCTAACTATTACCCCCCATTGATTTCATTTATCCAAATTCTAACATTCTCCTATTTAAATATGTATTGATAATTTGATGTATTTTTGTAGGAGTCAAATATATAAGAAATGTCTATTTGTAAAAAGCTCTGAAGACAAAAAGACTAGCCCTAGTCCAGACATTATACAACTAAGCAACTCAACAAATAGGACCAAATGCAACAGCTGTTGTGTGTGTGTGTGTGTGTGTGTGTGTGTGTGTGTGTGTGTGTGTGTGTGTTTTCAACCTTGGTTTTTTTCTAAAAACCAAATCCTACAAAACAATGTTTCCTGGTTTGCTGAACTGAAGTGAACTGAATTATAATAAAGAGATAATTTCCCCCAAAAGACTACTAGTAGAACCCTCTTCTTATTTCTGCCTGGAACAGCATCTTCTGCTTCTGGGAAATGTCCCTTTCTTCTTCCCATCATACTCTTCTACCCCTTCCCCTCATCACTAACCAGGTGGTTTGAATGAAAGCTGCTTTCTTGTTTCAGATATCAGTCCCTCTAATCACCAAGGTCCATTTAGCCAAGGATGGGCCCCCCTAGTCAGGAGCTGAGCCAATCATAGAACCCTATCCTCCTGGCCACAGTTGAAGAAGGGAGGAATTGGCACAACACAAACTGGACTGTCTCTGTTATTCGAGCTATAAATAAGAGGAGTAGGAACTGCCAACAGCTGGTTTCTGCCAATGCAAAAAAAGGCCAATGTGAAAGAACGAACTTAACTCAGAAAGCAGATATACGAGACTTAAAAGAAAAAATAGAAAGAAATCCCAGTGTTTTCAGGTGAACCTACTTTCCTCTAATGTAACTGGCATCCCTGATTTCAGGCAAAGCTACATTCCTGCCCTTCTTTCCCTGAGGTAGTCCGAATTTGGATTTCCGCACATGCAAACCAAAGAATCCTGACTAAATACGGACCTCAACGAAAAGCTGCAACAAAGTTGGGATTGCAATTTCGCTAAATAACTTTCATTTCACACCTTTTACATTACTATTCCACCTCTTCTCTCCTTCATGAGGAATTCACAAATATAACTGGTCTTGGTGGGGGGAAAATTTCTATTGCTTTTTAACTGTGGAACCATCTACATTTATTTATTAACTCTCCAACTCCTCAACCCGCAATTAAAATGTCAGTGTACTTCTGCCTCTACCCTTACAATCTGCTTACGTCCTAAAGGCAAGGTTTTAGAGGGCTTTTCTACTCAGTTGAAAAATGAGTATATTCTGTGAAAATCACTTAAATAACTATAACATACTTTGAAGATAAAACATGCCACATAATAAAAGCTATCTATTTGCTATTTCTACACAATACTAGTCCTTTGGTTTAGGGTTTACTGTGTCTGGAGTCTGCTATTTCCATTGTCATTAGCTCTTCTCATTTCAGATTATATAATGCCTTCCAAGCCCTAATTTAAATCCCCATTTAAGATTTTTGATTCACCTTAGGCTCAAATATAATAAAAACTATGGCAATTTACTTTTTAATTCAGTGTGTTTAAGCTTTAATAAAGTTTCAAAATTTGCTTCGTAAAAAAAAAAAACTCACCAAATAATTTGGAATTCGAAATGTCAAGATATGGAACAACTAGTTAAAGCTAGAATTAAAGCCATATTTTATAATCAAATTACTATTTTTTAAACTTTTGGTTTTTCTGCCACTTTCTAGGCAGTCTCCATAGTAACAGAAACAAGAACCAGAAGCCAGAAGTTGAAATGGACTCCTGCTGAATATGGTGGTTCCACTTCCAAGGAAACTACAATGATGTGATGGAAATACTGAAAGGCTTTTTAAATGTAGCCTTATATATAGGCCAGGTGCGGTGGCTCGTGCCTATAATCCCAACACTTTGGGAGGCTGAGGCAGATGGATCACCTGAGGTCAGGAGTTTGAGACCAGCCTGGCCCACACAGCAAAACCCAGTCTCTACTAAAAACATAAAACTGGCCGGGCGCGGTGGCTCACGCCTGTAATCCCAGCACTTTGGGAGGCCAAGGTGGGCAGATCACGAGGTCAGGAGTTCGAGACCATCCTGGCTAACATGGTGAAACCCCGTCTCTACTAAAAATACAAAAAATTAGCCAGGTGTGGTGGTGGGAACCTGTAGTCCCAGCTACTCAAGAGGCTGAGGCAGGAGAATGGTGTGAACCCGGAAGGCGGAGCTTGCAGTGAGCCAAGATAGCGCCACTGCACTCCAGCCTGGGCGACAGTGCAAGTCTCCATCTCAAAAAAAACAAAAACAACAACAACAACAAAAAAAACACACAAAATTAGCCAGGCATGGTGGCGGGCACCTGTAATACCAGCTACTCATGAGGCTGAGGCAGGAGAATCATTTGAACCCGGGAGGCAGAGGTTGCACTGAGCTGAGATCATGCCACTGCACTCCAGCCCGGGCAACAGAGCAAGACTCAAAAAAGTAACCTTATACATAAATACTACGGTTCCTTCCTTATCAATCCCTTAAAAGGAGGTCATAATCACTGCTGATCAACAGCAGCATCCAAGAATAAAAACTATCTCTTGAAGATTTCTGCTCCTGAATGCTTATTCAGGTTTGTCAGTACCAGAAAAAAAAAAAGATGACTCTATAGATTTCCAGGATATTTCTAACTAGTCAAATTATTGACAAATGTGACTTTAAACAGATTTTAATTGACCAAAAAATGTTTAATTAACTCTAACCTGCTTGATTTCTTGTTCTCCCTTTTAAAATACACACACACAGTCCACAATGATTATCTGTTAATCATTCAGCTACAGCAAGAATTTCCAGTGGGCTTAGGCATTCAAAAAAGAAAAACTAGGCTGTGGCTCACTCCTACAATTCCAGCACTTTGGGAGGCCAAGGTGAGAGAACTGCTTGATCCCAGGAGTTCAACACAAGCCTGGGCAACATAGCAAGATCCCATGTCTGTCTCTATTGAAAATACAAAAGTCAGCCAGGCGTGTTGGTGCGCACCTGTGGTTCCAGCTACTTGGGAGGCTGAGGCAGGAGGATCACATGAACCTGGGAAATCATGGCTGTGGTGAGCCACGCTCATGCCACTGCATGAACCACTGCACTCCAACCTGGGGAACAGAGCAAGACTCTGTCTTTAAAGAAAAAAAGAAAGAAAAATTGTTCCCATTATTTAATAACCTTTATGTTAAAAAGTTCTGGTGTATCATAAGAGATGTCTTAATGTGGATTGTGACAACCTGTGTTTCTTCACCTTCTCAATTTCTGATCATACAGGGTGATTATAGTGTGTGATCTCTGATAGGGAGTAGCTGAGTAGATATGAGGAGAAAATCCAAAGTTGTTGATGAAATTTACAGAAACACTCAATTACCCATGCTGTGTTTCTCAGTGCACCATCTCTGACTTCAGTCACTAAGAAAAGTTTATAGAAGGCACGGTATACAGATAACGGAATCCAGAAATTCTAACTTATCCAAGAAGCCATCACCACTTGGCACCCTTCATTATACCATATTCTATTTATAAGAAATATATCTCTTCTCTTTTATAAGAAAATTAAGTCTGAGGAATGTGAAATGTCTTTCTCAGTTACACAGTTACTATAAGAGCCTGAACCTAAACCATGTCTTACACCATACTTCAGGGTACTTGCCACTATCCTAAGCTACCTTTCAATATAAAGTACCATAACTGAATTTGAATTTGATTATTCTACTGTTTCTGAGTAGGACAAGAAAAATACAGAGCACAGGAGAAGTACAGGTGAGTATGGAAACAAAGATACAGAGAAATAAACATAAGAATTTGAGAAAGGTGCCTGTTAGGCAACAAAGCAAAGCAGAATCAGAATGGAGAGACAACAGACAAACATACAGGAAAACTGGAGCTACAAAGAGTTATATGTCATACCATGTAAAAGAGAACAGGTCTTTCTGAGAAAAACTGGTCTCTTGAACATCTTTATTACCCAAATATGTATTTGGATAACAATGGCCTTTTCTCATTTGCCCATTTAAAAAAAAAAAATCAAGAGGCATTTTTACTCATGGAACTAATAAAATTCAGTTTCGCAACCTAGAATAAAAAACGGTTCTTTCAATTCTACTCTTAGTCACTAAAAAGAATATAACTAACAGCCTCATCATTTGTTCAACAAAAGAAAAGCCATGCTGGAGGAAGAACAAGCCAATTTAAACATCTTGAAAGACAGTATGTCTATATCTGTGTTTCGTGGGAAATTTTAAGGGGCTATTAAGAGTATTTTGACTCTATTTGATTTCTGCCACATGCACAGAAGTTAATCCCCACATAAGACTCTACTTAGTCACATTTTATTATATTCTTATCTTTATTTCTCTACACCACAAATACTCTCCCAATGGGCCCTGTGCTTAGTCAAGCATGCTTGATTTCATTCAGATTTATCACAATAGAAAGAACATCCAAATCAAACTCGGTTTGAGTTTTTGTTTGTTGCTGCTTTTTTGCCTTCTTTTTTGTTGTTGTTGTTAACAACTTTAGTCACATAAAAGAAAACTCACACTTGAGATGGCCTTGGTAGTTACAGTTAGTTTTTTTTAAGTGCTGATTTATTATGTTTAATGGTGTTTTGTTCTTTTCAGGTACAGCCTACCATTTCTGCCTTATGCTAAGTGTTCTGACAACAAAAGGCAACCTTGAGAAGAACAGTAATTTATAGTTCTACACATCTACCACAACTCTGAAGCCATCAGTCTTTCCATGTATAACATGAACCAGTCAGGGAATCTGATTTCCATTTGCATTTAGTCAACCCCCTATTAATGTTTTTTCAAAACCAATTTCATGTGACCCTAGAAATTCAGAGAGTCACCAAAGAATAGTAAAAGTCATAATATTGATGCCCAGGCAATGCCTCAATTATGATTGTTTTCAATAATGTCTAGCAGTTTTTCTGCTATCAGTAACACTAACTGAAAACAAATATTATACATCATTATATCATAGAGTGTTAAATACCTACAGAGACAGTGTTCTTAGATTCAACAATTTCTTTCTGCTCCCTAACCTATTTTTCCTTGTTATGCAATTTTAAAGAGAGAATCCAAAGACTTATTTACTCCCTTCAAAATAACATTGCTGGCCAAGTATGGTGACTCACGCCTGTAATCTCAGCACTGTGAGAGGCTGAGGCAGGAAGATGGCTTGAGCCCAGGAGTTTGAGACCAGCTGGGACAACATAGTGGGACCCCATCTTTACAAAAAATTTTTTTTAATTCGCCAGGCCTGGTGGTACACACCTGTAGTCCCAGCTACTGGGGAGGCTGAGATGGGAAGATTGCTTGAGCCCAGGGGTTCAAGGCTGCAATGAGCTGTGATGGCACCACTGCACTCCAGCCTGGGCAACAGAGAGAGATACTGGCCAGGCAATAAAAATGGCCAGTCTCTTAGTGATGAGAAACTCTTGTCCAAATAATTATTTGCAGTCCAAACTCTTGTCCAAATAATAATGATAGCAGTCCCTTAAGTTTCTCTTATGTTCTAAAGTCAAATGGCTTATAAAAAATTAAGATTAAAACATCACAAAGATCTAATGACAGACACCAAACGAAAAAGAAAGAGCCAAAACTAAGGAACTAAAATTTTTCCTTATGAGAAGGAATAAAAATATCATCAGAGAAAATTTGGAAATGAAACTCCACATAAATTATGAGTTTTTAATCTGGTAAACATGGAAAGTCTCCTGACCCCCAAAAAGGATTTTCCTCATTCTTTCACTGGCCATGAGACACACATCTTAAGAGAAGTAGAAAATCTACGGAAGAATCTAGAGTCCAATAATTGTTTTCTTGATGCCATGATATTAATTCCCATATTTTTCCTTTGAAATGATCTAAAGTGATCAAGACAATTACTGATAACAAGCAGTTTATTATTCTCAACCCATGAAGTTTCAGACTCCTTTAATGCATCTCTACCATAAAAATTAAATTGACTTAGTGTATTAATACATCAGAATCAGAATAGACTCCATTTCATCTTTTTTCAAATGGCTGTTAACACAAACAGATATATCTCCATATTTAAATGATTCAAAGAATGAGGGCAGGTGCAGTGGGTCACACCTGTAATCCCAGCACTTTGGGAGGCCAAAGCAGGTGGATCATTTGAGGTCAGGAATTCAAGACCAGCCTGGCCAACATGGTTAAACCCCATCTCTATTAAAAATACAAAAATTAGCTGGGCATGGTGGTGCACACCTGTAATCCCAGTTACTCAGGTGGTTGAGGCAGGAGAATCATTTGAACCTGGGAGGCAGAAGCTGCAGTAAGCCAAGATGGTGCCCCTGCACTCCACCCTGGGTGACAGAGCGAGACTTTGTCACCAAAAAAAAAAAAGAATGAGTCAAGTAATACTCTCAGACTATATCACATTTGAAAACAATTTCAGAGTAACAGAGAAAATCCTCCCTAACAATTAACTTCCTTTATATAAACTACCAGAGTGAAAATGTTCTCTATCATTTATTCCTGCCCCTCCTATCCCCTTTAAAAGATGCCTAATAGTTTCTGAGTTATCTACTATGTTCCAGGCACATGGTCATCTCAATGTTTATAGTCATCTCAGCACTGTCATAGAACATTACATGTAGAAGACCTTCAATAAAATTTTGTTAAACAAATGAATGGATAAGTATATAAATTACTTGCCACCACTATTTTTTTTATTATACTTTAAGTTCTAGGGTACATGTGCACAATGTGCAGATCTGTTACATATGTATACATGTGCCATGTTGGTTTGCTGCACCCATTAATTCGTCATTTATGTTAGATATTCTCCTAATGCTATCCCTCCCCCATCCCCCCACCCCATGACAGGCCCCAGTGTGTGATGTTCCCCACCCTGTGTCCAAGTGTTCTCATTGTTCAATTCTCACCTATGAGTGAGAATATGTGGTGTTTGGTTTTGTGTCCTTGCGATAGTTTGCTCAGAATTATGTTTCCAGCTTCATCCATGTCCCTACAAAGGACATGAACTCATCCTTTTTTATGGCTGCATAGTATTCCATGTTGTATATGACTTGCCACCACTATTATAAGGTCTGATAACAATACCTTCATGCCTACTGATGTCTCAATTACCTCTTTCTATAACTTAGTGCCTTTCTCTAACTTAAACAATAGTTACATAAAATGCATGTCAGGGAAAGTATCTTTAATTATGGTCTTCATCATCCGTGTAGCTGAAATGCAAACAAAAGGAATACAGGTGAACATATTCCAAAAGATGCATGATTGGACTAAAAGGAGAATCTATATTTTGATTTAATTTTATGAAAAATTGTAATAACATGAGGAAAATACAGCACAGATATTCTAAGTAATTATAAACCACTGTGTAAACAGAATGATGTCTACAAAGCTATCTTTTTATTGTTTGACAGTTATAATTTTGAATGATGTGTTCCGTAATATTTTGTAAAGGTAAAATATCTCTGTATAATGACCTGGCTATTTTTCAGATGAAACCCATTTTGAGAACACTAACGGCAACACAGTATGCTTCTGAGAAAAGGCAGATTTACAGTTTTAATACTTCATAAGAGAGAACAAATAAGCTGAACTGTGTAATTTACACATGACAAAGTTTAATTATAAAGATATAATAAGCTATAAGTAATATAAAACTGCATAACTCAAGTAATTACAAAATAATGATTAACTCTTTCTCAAGGTGCCTAATAACCTGTCAGAACTAAAATAATAGATTTTCATTTAGGGTTTTTTGGGTTTCATTTGGTTTACTTTAAAATAATCGTAGATATCCACATTTCTTCTGATCAGAATCAAAGATTTTTGAGTAATCACAGGGAATAAATCAGCCCTCTCAAATGTTTTTAAACTGTATTGCTACAGATATAAAAATGTGGTGATACTGATGAGAGATCGACTAATAAAAAACACTTCGAGAATCCTCATCTATCTCTCTGCTTTTGCTATAGAGCAGCTGTGCCTCACAGATTCACATGAATGAAAATATTTAGACGAGAAACCACCCACTTAGTTTATTTTCCATATGACTTTCCTGTAATTATTTTGTAAACTGTTCATACAACAATACATAAAAACATCTGCAAAAACAGGTAATTAATGTGTCAAGCCAAACTAATGCATTTTTTATGGTGTCCATGCTTCGTCAACTGTAATTATAACTCTTTTTTAAGCAAATGATGATGTGTTTGTTGCAACGTGCAAGTGGTTATTTTAGATGCTCTGTTTACTGTTCATACAATCTGAATATAAAACTCCACAGCTACTTTACCCCACATCAATGCTTTACCTAGCTTTCTACTGAAGCAGGAAAGTGGCTCTCTTTTCCAAGCTATAATTTCCAGTAAACATTTTTGTCATTAAAACATGAAACTCTCAACATAAAATTTGACACCAAAATAGCCAACAATTCAAGAAGCATATGCCAGGAAACTACTCGTCCAGACTTTCTTCCTTCAGTGGTAACCCTGGGGAAAATTCAGCACTTTATGCCAATAGGCTATAGTATACTAAGCCTCCTGAGTATCAACAGAAGTTTAAGGGTTGTTTTTTTAATGATACAAAATCCATTCCATCTAGATCCACCAAACATATATCTTGAAATGACAAATGAAGAAGCAAAACATACTGTTTTGCATATGAACTTTGTCCTTCTTGAGTTCTCACTACATGAGAGATCATCATAACCATTATTATTACTACTACTATTATATAATAAGTAATAGTGTATACCAATAATCATTCCCAGATAGACATTCCTGAAGGTTCTGGGTAAGTAATCTCTAAAGTTCTATGTTTCCAGAACAAATTAAATCTAAGATTAAGGAAGAACTACAAGCCTACACTAGTTTTCTAGGGTTCCTTCTCTTCCTTAAAAAAGGAGGGCAATTTTTTACATATCTGTGACTACTAATTTTAGCACAGAAAAAACTTGGTAATAAACAACTCTCAGGAAACATGCCTTTCTGTCTGAATGTTTTCAAAAAAAGTTTAAAAAAAAATACTGGAGAAGTAGCTCTATGTGTCCAAGCTTATTTAACTCTTTATTTCGATACAAATCATTCTAAACTGGGCTACTCCATTTGTAAGTACAATAAACTAAAATTAATTAAACTTTGCTTTCCCTGAATATTAGCTACTGTGATATGTTATGGGTATCTGTCTATCCCCACCTTGTTCCCACAAAGATCGGGAAAGTATTATAACAACTTAAATGAGAGTTTCCCAGCTGCCAAGCCTGAGTTTTAGGTCAAATGGTTATTTTGAGGAAGCTGTAGGTGGGTCTGATCAAAACTGAACAGAGCCCTAGTTTCAAGGGTGCTGGAATAGCAAGCACATTGCCAAGACAAGGCAAGAGAACAAGATAGATCTTACCTGTTAAGGCTAGTAACCAAACACAGGGTGAGAGTAGCAAGAAGTCACAGTACTGATTTACCTGGCTTACACAGCTACAAATGTATTTAACTAGTGCCATTTCAAATGGCTGAATTCTATACATTGTCAAACATTAAGTGTACATAAACATGTTAATCAAAAGCAGAGATTATTTCTAAGACTGGATTAAAAAAAAACTATACAGGATCTAACTATATCCTGTCTATAGAAGATATACATTGATTCAAAGAAGCAACCAGGTTGTAAATAAAAAAATGGAAACATACCGTGCAAAAAGTAATCATAAGAGAGAACAGCTATACCAATATCTGACAAAATCTATTCTAAGAAAGAAAAGTTACCACAGACAATAATAGACATTTTATAACATTAAAAGGTTATATTAATCAGGAAACTATAACTATAAACATGCCTGCATCTACTAACAGATCTCCAAAACAGATGAAGCAAAAAATGACAGAAATAAGGAAACAGACAATTCAACAATATTCATCAGATATGTCTCAATAATCGCTAGAACAAAGAGACAGAAAATCAGTAATAATATAGAAAACTTGAGCAGTATTATCAACCAACCTGAATTCTGAATCTACAGAATACTCCATACAAAAACAGCAGAATATATGCTTCTTATAAGCACACACAGAACATTCTCCAGGACAGACCACGTACTTGGCCACAAAACAAGTCTCAATAAATGTAAAATAATTTAAATCATGCAAACTATATTCACCAACCATAACAATTAACTAGAAATCAACAATTAAAGGCCGGGCATGGTGGCTCACGTCTGTAATCCCAGCACTTTGGCAGGCCGAGGCGGGCAGATCACAAGGTCAGGAGATCGAGACCATCCTGGCTAACACGGTGAAACCCCGTCTCTACTAAAAACATAAAAAAATTAGCCGGACATGGTGGCAGGCACTTGTAGTCCCAGCTACTCAGGAGGCTGAGGCAGGAGATGAGGCAGGAGGTGGAGCCTGCAGTGAGCCGAGATCGTGCCACTGCACTCCAGTCTGGGCAACAGGGCAAGACTCTGTCTCAAAAAAAAAAAAAAAATTAAAAATTGGAAAATTCACATATATTTGAAAACTAAAGAATGCATATCTTAAAAATACATGAATCAAAGAAGAAACAAAGATAACTGGAAATTATTTCAAGCTGAGTGAAAATGAAAGCAATATATCTAAATTTATGGGATGTGGAAGCAGTGCTTAGAGGGACACTAATAGTTTTAAACACCAACATTGAAAACAAGATATCAAATTGATAACCTAAGCTTTTACCTCTTAAGATAAATTCTAAAAAATTAAAGCAAACCATATAAAACAGTGAAAGGAGAAAAAAATGAAACAGAAAATAGAAGAAATACAGAGAAAACAAATGAAATTTAAAAAATTAATTCTTCAAAAAGATCAACAAAATTGGCAAACTTTCAGGTAGACTGACCAAGAAAATCAAAGAGAAAACAGAACATACTCATCACTCCCAAACAATTCCTTATTTTGCCTATATTTTTAAAGATATTTTCATTGGGTATAGAAATCTCAGTTGACAGGTTTTTTCCACCTTTTTCTCTACTCAGATATATTCATCAATTGTCATCTCTCTTACATTGTTTTCAACACGAAATCTGATGACATTCATATCTTTGTTCATACATGAATTGTCTTTTTTCTTCTGCCTGCTGTTAATCTCAAGGTTTTCCCTTTATCACTGGTTTTGAGCAATTTGATTATCATGTGCCTTGGTGTAGTATTCATGTTTCTTTGCTTGGGGTTTATCGGACTTTTTGGACTTGCAAATTGTTTTTATTAAATGTGGAAAGCTTTCAGGCATTATTTCTTCAAATATTTTGTTTCCCCCTCTCCATTTTCACACGTCCCAGTTCCATATACAGAAATAGTTCTATAGTTCAGTGAAGTCCTTTTTTTTAATTTTTAAAAATACTTTTATCTCACTGTTTCATTTTGGATAGTTTCTATTACTATGTCCTCAAGTTCATTAATCTTTCCTTCTGGAAAATCTAATCTGCCACAGATCACAACCTTTGCATTCATTTCTGACACTGTGGATGCTACCTATAGAAGTTCAGTTTGGTCTTTTGTAATTCTTACATGTCTCCACTTAACTTTTTCAAGATAATAAACAAAGTTACAACAACACTTAAAGCCCTTACCTGATCATTCTAACATCTCTGTCAATTCCTGGTAGGATTAGATTGATTAATTTTCCCTCAATTAAGGGGGTATTTTTCCTGCTTCTATGCATGAATGGTAACATTTTGAATTTTACCATGTTGGGTGGTGGGTGTTTTTCTAACTACTATCAATATTTTTGAGCTTTGTTCTAGGATACAGAAATGGTTCTTGAATATAGTTTGATCCTTTTAGGTCTTGCTTTTACGATTTGAGAGAGTGGGGACGGTGGAACAAGACAGCAGAATAGAAAGCTCCACCAATCATCCCCAAGCCCACAAGAACACCAAGTTAACAACTATCTACACAGAAAAAAACACCTTCATAAGAACCAAAAATCAGGTGAGTACTCATAGTACCTGGTTTTAACTTCATCTTACTGAAAGGGGCACTGAAAAGATACAAAAAAAAAGCAGTCCCGAATTGCTGACGTCACCCCCTGCACCCCAGCTCCTACTGGAGCATGGTGCAGAGAGTGTCTATGAGAGCGTCTGGGGGAGGGAGAACACAGCAACTGTGAGGTACTGAACAGCAACTGCTGTCCTGTTAGAGCAAAAAGGAAAACTGGACCAAACTCAGCTAAAGCCCACCCAAGATGGGAGCATTTAAACCCACTCTAGCCAGAGGGGAATCACTGATCCTAGTGGTCAGAAATTGACTGCCTGCAAACCTCGCCAACAAGGGCTACAGCACTCTGTGTCTCCAAGTAAATTTGAAAGGCATTTGAGGCCATAAGGACTGCAACTTGTAGGCGAGTCCTAGTACTGAACTAGGCCCAGAGACAGTGGACAGGAGGACACATGGCATACTGAGATACTAGCTGAGGCAGTCAAGGGAGGGCTGGCATCACCACTCCCTTAACCCCAGGCTGCACAGCTCATAGCTCCAAAAGACACGCCATTCCTCCACTTGAGGAAAGGAGAGGAAAGTGGGGAGGACTTTGTCTTGCATCTTGGAAACCACCTCAGCCATAGCAAGATAGGGCACTGGTCAGAGTTGTGTGGTCCCTATTCCAGGTCCTAGTTCCCAGACATTTCTATACACACCCTGAGCCAGAAGGGAACCTGCTGCCTTGAAAGAAAGGACTTCGTGCTGGCAGCATTCATCACCTGCTAACTAAAGAGCCCTTGGACCCTGAATAATCAGCAACATTACCCAGGTACTACACTTACGGCTTCAGGCGAGCCTGTGAGACTTGCAGACTTTAAGTGAGACTCAGCACATTACCAATTGTGGTGACTACAGAGCAAAACTCCTTCTGCTTGAGAAAAGCAGAGGGAAAAGTAAAGGGGACTTTCTCTTGTACCTTAGATACCAGCAAGGCCACAGAAGGGTAGAGCACCAAGCGGGCACTTAAGGTGCCCCAATTTCAGGCCTTGACTATTGAACAGCATTTCCGGACCTGCCCTTGGCCAGTGGGGAACCCACTACCCTCAAGGGTGAGTCCCAGTCCAGGCAGCATTTACAACAAGCTGAGTTAAGAGATCCTGGGACTTAAGAGAATGCCAGCAGTATTCTGGCAGTAGTCCTATGGTCTGGGGTGAGTGGCTATGGGGTAAGGCTTGTCTGCCTTCAGAAAAGGGAAGGAAGAGTGGGAAGAACTGCACCTTGTGGTTTGAGTGCCCCAACAGTGCAATACAAGATAACACCGGGTAGACTTCTAAGGTTTTTGATTCTAGTCCCTGACTCCCTGACAGCACTTCTATATCCACGAAGGGATTGGGAGACTTCATCACCAGGAAGGGAAGGACACAGGCCTGGCTGGCTTTGCTGCCTGCTGACTGCAGAGTCCCAGGGCCTTCAGCAAACATAGGCAGTAGCCAGGGAGTGGCTATAACAGGCCTTGGACAAGACCCAGCACTGTGCCAGCTTCAGGTCTGATGCAGAGCAGTCATAGTGGTGGTGGCCCCAGGGGTGTCACTCCACCTCCAGCTTTAGGTGGCTTAGAACAGAGAGAGAGATTTTATATGTTTGGGAGAAAGTAAGGAAACAACAAGAGCCTCTGACTGGTAATCAAGAGAATTCTCCCTGATCTTGTCCAAGACCATCAAGGTGGCTGGTACCTCTAAGAGTCTGCAAGAACCATAACATTACCAGGCTTGTGGTGAGCCCTAAAGCAGAAACAGCTTAGATCACAACACACAAGTCCTTTCAAATGTCTGGAAAGCCTTCCCAAGAATTACATATTTAACATGCTGAAGAAATAAAAAAAAACATTTACCCTAGAAGAGTATAGCCAGCAAAAGTATCCTTCAAGCATGAAGGAAAAATAAACACCTTCCCAGACAAACAAAAGCTAACAGATTTCAATATCAGACCTGTCCTACAAGAAGTGCTAAAGGGAGTACTTCAATCAGAAAGAAAAGGACATTAATGAGCAATAAATGATCACCTGAAGGTACAAAACTCACTAGTAATAGTAAGTACACAGAAAAACACCAAATATTATAACACTGTAATGTGGTGTGTAAACTACTCTTATCCTAAGTAGGAAGTCTGAATGATGAACCAATGAAAAATAATAACTTTTCAAGACATAGGCAACACAATAAGACAGAAACAACAAAATGTTTAAAAGCTGGGGGACAAAGTTAAGGTGTAGAGTTTTTATTATTCTTCCTTTTGCTTGTCTGTTTATACAAGTGTTAAGTTGTTATCAAGTTAAAATAATGGGTTACAAGATATATTTGCAAGCCTCATGGTAACCTCAAACAAAAAAACATATAATGCCTCTGCCTCTGCCCCTGCCCCTGCCCCTGCCCCTGCCCCTGCCTCTGTGCCTGCCTCTGCGCCTGCCTTTGCCTCTCCCTCTCCCTCTCCCTCTCCCTCTCCCCACGGTCTCCCTCTCCCTCTCTTTCCACGGTCTCCCTCTCATGCTGAGCCGAAGCTAGACTGTACTGCTGCCATCTCGGCTCACTGCAACCTCCCTGCCTGACTCTCCTGACTCAGCCTGCCGAGTGCCTGCGATTGCAGACTCGCGCCGCCAGGCCTGACTGGTTTTGGTGGAGACGGGGTTTCGCTGTGTTGGCCAGGCCGGTCTCCAGCCCCTAACCGCACGTGATCCACCAGCCTCGGCCTCCTGAGGTGCCGGGATTGCAGATGGAGTCTCGTTCACTCAGTGCTCAATGGTGCCCAGGCTGGAGTGCAGTAGCGTGATCTCGGCTCGCTACAACCTCCACCTCCCAGCCGCCTGCCTTGGCCTCCCAAAGTGCCGACATTGCAGCCTCTGCCCGGCCGCCACCCCGTCTGGGAAGTGAGGAGCATCTCTGCCTGGCGGCCCATCATCTGGGATGTGAGGAGCCCCTCTGCCTGGCTGCCCAGTCTGGAAAGTGAGGAGCGTCTCCGCCCGGCCGCCATCCCACCTAGGAAGTGAGGAGCACCTCTGCCCGGCCGCCATCACATCTAGGAAGTGAGGAGCGTCTCTGCCCGGCCGCCCATCGTCTGAGATGTGGGGAGCGCCTCTGCCCCGCCGCCCCGTCTGGGATGTGAGGAGCACCTCTGCCCGGCGGCAACCCCGTCTGGGAGGTGAGGAGCATCTCTACCCGGCCGCCCCGTCTGAGAAGTGAGGAGCCCCTCCGCCCGGCAGCCACCCCGTCTGGGAAGTGAGGAGCCCCTCCGCCCGGCAGCCGCCCCGTCTGGGAAGTGAGGAGCGTCTCCGCCCGGCAGCCACCCCGTCCGGGAGGGAGGTGGGGGGGTCAGCCCCCCGCCCCATCAGCCGCCCCGTCCGGGAGGGAGGTGGGGGGGGTCAGCCCCCTGCCCGGCCAGCCGCCCCATCCGGGAGGGAGGTAGGGGGATCAGCCCCCCGCCAGGCCAGCCGCCCCGTCCGGGAGGGAGGTGGGGGCATCAGCCCCCCGCCCGGCCAGCCGCCCCGTCCAGGAGGGAGGTGGGGGGTCAGCCCCCCGCCCGGCCAGCTGCCCCGTCCAGGAGGTGAGGGGCGCCTCTGCCCGGCCGCCCCTACTGGGAAGTGAGGAGCCCCTCTGCCCAGCCAGCCGCCCCGTCCGGGAGGGAGGTGGGGGGGTTAGCCCCCCGCCCGGCCAGCTGCCCCGTCCGGGAGGTGAGGGGCGCCTCTGCCCGGCCACCCCTACTGGGAAGTGAGGAGCCCCTCTGCCCGGCCAGCCGCCCCATCCGGGAGGGAGGTGGGGGGGTCAGCCCCCCGCCCGGCCAGCCGCCCCGTCTTGGAGGGAGGTTGGGGGATCAGCCCCCCGCCCGGCCAGCCGCCCCGTCCGGGAGGGAGGTGGGGGGGTCAGCCCCTCGCCCGGCCAGCTGCCCCGTCCGGGAGGGAGGTGGGGGGGGTCAGCCCCCCGCCAGGCCAGCCGCCTCGTCCGGGAGGGAGATGGGTGGGGGGGTCAGCCCCCCGCCCGGCCAGCCGCCCCGTCCGGGAGGTGAGGGGCGCGTCTGCCCGGCCGCCCCTACTGGGAAGTGAGGAGCCCCTCTGCCCAGCCAGCCGCCCCGTCTGGGATGGAGGTGGGGGGGTCAGCCCCCCGCCCGGCCAGCCGCCCCATCCGGGAGGTGAGGGGCGCCTCTGCCCAGCCGCCCCTACTGGGAAGCGAGGAGCCCCTCTGCCCGTCCAGCCGCCCCGTCCGGGAGGGAGGTGGGGGGGTCAGCCCCCCGCCCGGCCAGCCGCCCCATCCGGGAGGTGAGGGGCGCCTCTGCCCGGCCGCCCCTACTGGGAAGCGAGGAGCCCCTCTGCCCGGCCAGCCGCCCCGTCCGGGAGGGAGGTGGGGGGGTTAGCCCCCCGCCCGGCCAGCCGCCCCGTCCGGGAGGTGAGGGGCGCCTCTGCCCGGCCGCCCCTACTGGGAAGTGAGGAGCCCCTCTGCCCGGCCAGCCGCCCCGTCCGGGAGGGAGGTGGGGGGGTCAGCCCCCCGCCTGGCCAGCCGCCCCATCCGGGAGGGAGGTGGGGGGGTCAGCCCCCCGCCCGGCCAGCCGCCCCATCCGGGAGGGAGGTGGGGGGGTCAGCCCCCCGCCCAGCCAGCCCCCCCATCCGGGAGGTGAGGGGCGCCTCTGCCCGGCCGCCCCTACTGGGAAGTGAGGAGCCCCTCTGCCCGGCCAGCTGCCCCGTCCGGGAGGGAGGTGGGGGGGGTCAGCCCCCTGCCCGGCCAGCCGCCCCATCCGGGAGGGAGGTGGGGGGGTCAGCCCCCCTGCCCGGCCAGCTGCCCCGCCCAGGAGGTGAGGGGCGCCTCTGCCCGGCCACCCCTACTGGGAAGTGAGGAGCCCCTCTGCCCGGCCACCACCCCGTCTGGGAGGTGTGCCCAACGGCTCATTGAGAACGGGCCAGGATGACAATGGCGGCTTTGTGGAATAGAAAGGCAGGAAAGGTGGGGAAAAGATTGAGAAATCGGATGGTTGCCGTGTCTGTGTAGAAAGAAGTAGACATGGGAGACTTTTCATTTTGTTCTGTACTAAGAAAAATTCTTCTGCCTTGGGATCCTGTTGATCTGTGACCTTACCTCCAACCCTGTGCTCTCTGAAACATGTGCTGTGTCCACTCAGGGTTGAATGGATTAAGGGCGGTGCAAGATGTGCTTTGTTAAACAGATGCTTGAAGGCAGCGTGCTCGTTAAGAGTCATCACCACTCCCTAATCTCAAGTACCCAGGGACACAAACACTGCGGAAGGCCGCAGGGTCCTCTGCCTAGGAAAACCAGAGACCTTTGTTCACTTGTTTATCTGCTGACCTTCCCTCCACTATTGTCCTATGACCCTGCCAAATCCCCCTCTGTGAGAAACACCCAAGAATTATCAATAAAAAATAAATAAATAAATAAATAAATAAATAAATAACATATAATGTACATACAAAAAAATAAAAAGCAAGAAACTAAATCCTATCACCTTCACTAGAGGAAGACAGGAAGGAAAGAAAGAAGAAAGACCACTAAACCACCAGAAAAAAAATAACAAAATGGTGTAAGTCCTTACTTATAAATAATAACATTGAATGCAAATGGACTAAACTACAATCAAGACATAGACTGGCTGAATGGATGAAAAAACAAGACCCATTAGTCTGTTGCCTACAAGAAACACACTTCACCTATAAAGACACAAACAGACTGAAAATAAAGGGATAGAAAAAGATATTCCACACCAATGGAAACTAAAAAATATTTTTTCTGATATATTTGTATCAGACAAAATAGATTTCAAAACAGAAACTATAAGAAGAGACAAACAAGGTCACTATATAATGATAAAGGGGTCAATTCAGTGAGAGGATATAACAATTTTAAATATATTTGCACCTAACCCTGGGGTACCCATATATTATAAGGCAAATATTATTAGTGCTAACAAGAGAGATAGGCCCCAATCTAATAATAGCTGGAGACTTCACCCCACTTTCTGCATTGGACAGATCTTCCAGACAGAAAAAGCAACAAAGAAACATCAGGCTTAATCTACACTACAGACCAAATGGATCTAATAGATATTTACAGGACATTTCATCCAAGGGCTGCAAAATCCACATTCTTTGCCTCACTACATTGATCATTTCCAAGGACAGACCATATGTCAGGTCACAAAACAAGTTTTAAAACATTCAACAAAAATTGAAATTGTTTCAAGGACCTTCTCTGACCACAATGGAACAAAACTGGAAATTAATGACAACAGGAATTTTGGAAACTACAGAAATACACGGAAATTAAACAATATGTTCCTGAATGACCAGTGAGTAAATGAAGAAGTAAAGAACTGAAAATTTCTTAAAACAAATCATAATGGAAACACAACATCCCAAAACCTATGGGATACGGCAAAAGCAATACTGAGAGGGAAGTTTAGAACTACAAGTGCCTACATCAAAAAAGAGGAAAAACTTCAAATGAGCATCTTACACAACTAGAAAAGCAAGAGCAAACCGAACCCAAAATGAGTAGAAAAAAATAATAAAGATCAGAGTAGCAATGAATGAACTGAAATGAAATAATACAGATGATGAGTGAAACAAAAAGTTGGATTTTTGAAAACGTAAGCAAAATTGACAAACCTTTAGCCAAACTAAGAAAAAAAAAGAATATACAAATAAATAAAATCAGAAATGTAAAAACAGACTTTATAACTGTTACTGCAGAAATTCAAAGGATCATTAGTAGCTAATATGTGCAACTATATGTCAATAAATTGGAAAGTCTAGAAGAAATGGACAAGTTCCTACTTATATACAACCTACCAAGACTGAACCAGGAAAAAACACAGAACCTGAACAGACCAATAACAGATAATGAGATTGAAGCCATAGTAAAAAATCTCTAAGTAAAGAAAAGCCCAGGACTGATGGCTTCATTGCTGAATACTACCAAAAATTTAAGGAAGAAATGATACCAATCCTACTCAAACTATTCTGAAAAATAGAGGAGGGAATACTTATAAACTCGTTCTATGAGGCCAGTATTACCCTGATATCAAAACCAGACAAAGACACATCCAAAAAAAAGAAAACCATAGACCAATATCTCTGATAAATATTGATGCAAAAATCCTCAACAAAATACTAACAAACTGAATTCAACAATACATTGTAAAGATCACACATCATGACCAGGGGGATTTACCCCTTGAGATGCAAAGATGGCTCAACATATGCAAATCAATCAATGTGAAACCTCATATCAACAGAATGAAAGATAAAAACCAAATAATTATTTCAACGGATGCTGAAAAAGCATTTGATAAAATTCAATGTCCCTTCATGATAAAAACCCCTCAAAAACTGGATATATAAGGAACACACCTCAACCTAATAAAAGCCATATATGACAGACCCAAAGATAGTATACTGAATGCAGAAAAACTGAAGCCTTTCCTCTTAGATCAGGAACATGACAAGGATGCCCACTTTTACCACTGTTATTCAACACAGTACTAGAAGCAATCAGACAACAGAAAGATATAAAGGGCATCTAAACTGGAAAGGAAGAAGTCAAATTATCCTTGTTTGCAGATGATATGACCGTGTATTTGGAAAAACTTAAAGAGACAAGAAAATTATTAGAACTGCTAACAAATTCAGTAAAGTTGCAGGATGCAAAATCAATGTACAAAAATCAGTAGCATTTCTATATGCCAACAGTGAACAATCTGAGAAAGAAATTTAAAAAGTAATCCCATTTACAACAGTCACAAATAAAACTGAATATCTAAGAATTAACTTAACCAAAAAAGTGAAAGAGCTCTACAATGAAAACTATAAAACACTGATGAAAAAAAACTGAAGAGGACATCAAAATATGGAAAAATATTCCATGTTCATGGATTGGTAGAATCAATATTGTTAAAATGTCCATATGACCCACAGCAATCTACAGATCCAATGGAATCCTGATCAAAATATCAATGACGTTCTTCACAGAAATAGAAAAACAACACTAAAATTTATATGGAACCACAAAAGATCCAGAATAGCCAAAGTGATCCTAAGCAAAAAGAAGAAAACTGGAGGAATCACATAACCTGACTTCAAATTATGCTACAGAGCCATTGTAACCAAAACAGCAAGCTACCAGCATCAAAACAGACACATAGATGAGTGGAACAGAATAGAGAACTCAGAAAGAAATCCACACACCTACAGTGAACTCATTTTCGACAAAGGTGCCAAGAACATACACTGAAGAAAAGACAGTTTCTTCAATAAATGGTACTGGGAAAACTGAATACCCATATGCAGAAGAATGAAATTACACCCCTATCTCTTGCCATACACAAAAATCAAATCAAAATGGATTAAAGACTTAAAGTCTAAGAACTCAAACTATAAAACCACTACAACAAAACATTGGGGAAAATCTCCAGGATATTGGTTTGGGAAAAGATTTTTTGAGTTATACCCCACAAGCACCAGCAATCAAAGCAAAAAATGGACAAATGGCATCACATCAAGTTAAAAAGCTTCTGCACAGCAAATGATACAATCAAAAAAGTGAAGAGACAGCCCATAGAATGGGAGGAAATATTTACAAACTACCCATCTCACAAGGGATTAATAGAATATATAAGATGCTCAAACAACTCTATAGGGAAAAAATCTAATAATCCAATCAAAAAACGGGCATAAGATATGAACAGACATTTCTCAAAAGACATACACATGGCAAACAAACATAAGAAAAGGTGCTCAACATCACTGATCATCAGAGAAATGCAAATCAAAACTACAATGAGATATTATCCCCGCCCAGTTAAAATGGCTTATATCCAAAAGACGGGCAATAACAAATACTGGTGAGGATGTGAAGAAAAGGGAACCCTGGTACACTGTTGGTGGGAACGTAAATTAGTACAAGCACTATGTTGTACATAGTTCAACAGTTTGGAGGTTCCTCAAAAAAAATAAAAATTGCAATCCCACGGCCGGGCACAGTGGCTCACACCTGTAATCCCAGCACTTTGGGAGGCCGACGTGGGCAGATCACAAGGTCAGGAGATCGAGACCATCCTGGCTGACACAGAGAAACCCCGTCTCTACTAAAAATACAAAAAATTACCCGGGCATGGTGGCGGGCGCCTGTAATCAACCCCAGCTACTCAGGAGGATGAGCAGGAGAACTGTTTGAACCCAGGAGGTGGAGGTTGCAGTGAGCCAAGATCGTGCCACTGCACTCCTGCCTGGGCGACAAAGCAAGACTCTGTCTCAAAAAAAAAAAAAAAAATTGCAATCCCACTGCTACGCATACACTCCAAAGAAAGGAAATCAGTGTATCAAAGAGATATCTGCACTCCCATATTTACTGCAGCACTATTTACAATAGCCAAGATTTGGAAGCAACCTAAGTGTCCATTAACAGATGAACAGATAGAGAAAAAATGGTACATATACACAACAGGGTACTATTGAGCCATGAAAAAGAATGAGATCCTGTCATTTGCGACGCCATGGATGGAACTGAAAATTATTGTGTTAAGTGAAATAATCCAAGCACAGAAAGACAAACATTGCATGTTCTCACTTATTTGTGGGATCTAAATATTAAAAAAAAAAAAAAATGAATTCATGAGCACAGAGAGTAAAAGAATGGGTTACCAGAGTCTGGGAAGGGTAGTGGGGGGGTTACAGGGAGGTGGGATGATTAACATATACCAAAAAAAAAAAAAAAAAAAAAAAAAAACAGAATGAATGAATAAGACCTATTTGATAGTACAACAGGGTGACTATAGTCAATAATAACTTAATTGTACATTTTTTAAAAACATAGCGTGTAATTGGATTGTTCATAACTCAAAGGATAAATGCTTAAGGGGATGGATACCCCATTCTCCATGATGTACTTATCTGACATTGCATGCCTGTATCAAAACATCTCATGCACCCCATAAATATATACACCTACTATGTACCTACCAAAAAATTGAAAAAAATAAAAATTATGTATTTTTTAAAAGACTTGTGGGAGTGGGCCTAATTATTATTCCACAGTACTATTACTCCTTCTATGTATTCTACCTAATGCCACATGATTGAGGTTTCTGAGACTACTTCTTAGGAAGACACTATTCCCAGCTCTGTGTGAGCAACCAGAATTGTGTCTCGTAATCCTTTTGGGATATCTTTTTTGGTCTCGAGTAGTTTCCCCACAGCATACACTAATGAGTACTCTGTGTATATTCCAGGAGACACTACCAATCTCTGTACCATTATCTCTCCTCTAGACAACACACTGGACATCAGGCAATAATTCTAAATATCGTATCCTGCAAGCTCTAACTACAAACTCTAACTTCATTCTTCCTAGCCTCTCAACTTCATCTTCTTAACTCAGAGAGAACGTTCTGCCAGGATCCAAATGGCTTCCTTCTCCCTGCACCACAACCTAGAAATTCAAGACAGCAATCTGGGACAATCATGAGCCTAACTTCATTTGTTTCCTCTCAGAAATCACTGTCTTTCATTACCTGATGCCCAGTGTCTCGAAAATCATTGTTAAATATATTGTCTGGTATTTTTAGTTGCTTCAGGAAAGACTGTTACCTATCTTGGTCAGCAGTATAAATCTTTTTTTTTAGATGGGAGTCTTGCTCTGTCACCCAGGCTGGAGCGCAGTGGCGCGATCTCAGCTCACTGCAACCTCTGCCTCCCAGGTTCAAGTGATTCTCCTGCCTCAGTCTCCTGAGTAGGTGGGATTACAGGCACCCACCACCATGCCCAGCTAATTTTTGTATTTTTAGTAGAGATGGGTTTTCACCATGTTGGCCAGGATGGTCTCGATCTCCTGACCTCGTGATCCGCCTGCCTCAGCCTCCCAAAATTCTGGGATTACAGGCGTGAACCTCTGCACTGGCCCTGAATCTTTTTTTTTAATGTGACTACTAGAAAATTCAGGATTACATATGTGTTGATATGATATTGCTATTGTACACTGCTGTTGTAGACAGTTATTAAAGTATGTAATCCTGAAATCACCTAAGGAGAATAGGGTAAAGAGCCTAAGAAGGTTGATAACCAAGTCACGATGAATTTCAGCATTTAAAGATCAAGTGGGGAAGAACAAGCTGGTAAAGTAGACTTAGAAAGGTCAAGAAAGGGGGCCAGGTGCAGTGGCTCACACCTATAATCCCAGCACTGTGGGAGGCTGGGGCTGGAGTACTTCTTGAGGACGGGAGTTCAAGACCAGCCTAGGCAACATAGTAAGATTCCCATTTCTATGAATTTTTTCACAGCTATAATCCCAGCTACTCTGAAGGCTAAGGTGGGAGGATCACTTGAGTTCAGGAGTTTGATGCTGCAGTGAGCTATGATTGTGCCACTGTACTCCAGCCTGAGCAACAAGGCAAGACCCTGTCTCTAAAAAATAAAAAACTAAAGAACTCCAACTGCCAGAAAATTAAACAATATGCTTATGCTATTTATGACATACTTCTAAGTAATTCACAGGTACAGGAGGCAGAATAATGATGGGACTCTTGAAGATGTTCATGCCCTAAGCCCAGAACCTGTGTCTATGTTATTTTACGTGGCTAAAGAAACTTTACAAATGTGATTAAGGTTAAGGGTTTTGATATAGGGCAATTATCCTAGATTATTCACATGAGCCCAATCCAATCATATAGCTCCTTAAAACCAGATAACCTTTCCTGGCTGAGGATCACTGTGAAATGTAACTATGAAAGAATGGTCAGAGCGATGCAAAACTGCTGGCTTTGAGATGGACAAAGGGGACCATAAGCAAAGGCATGCAGGTGGCCACCAGAAGCTAGAAAAGACAAGAAAACAGTTATTTTTATGTGCAGTTTCCAGGAAAAAAAAAAAAAAAAAGGTGCTGCTCACACCTTGATTTTTGCCCAGTGTGGTTCACGTCAGATTTCTAACCTACAAAACAATAAAATTAAAAATTTGTTTTGAAAATCATTAAGTTTATGTTAAGTAGTTAAAGCACCAATAGAAAACTAATAAAATGAGATTTAAAAACGAAAACAAAACATGAAAAATATTTTGAACTGATAATAACTAAGGTTTGACATATCAAAATCTATAGGAGGTAGCTAAACAAATACTTTATGGAAAATTTAATAATCCTAAATGTATATTAAAAAAAGGCTGAAACTCAAAGATGTAATCTTCTAACTCAAAAATAAAAAGAATATTCAGACTTCATGTAAGTAGAATGAGAAAGGAATACAAATCTATAAAATAGAAAACACAGAACAGCAAAATAAAAGTTAAAAGTTAATTCTTTTGAACATTAAAAAAACTGATAAAATGCTAACATGAGTGAATAAGAAAAAAAAATACATAACAAATAACCAAAATCCAGAAAAACCCAACAGACATCCAAAAGATTAGGAGACACTATAAACACTTCTACAATTAAATTTCACCTTTTATGTGAAACAGACAAATTTCTTGAAAAATAGAACTTGCTGAGTTTCACGAAAGAAGAAATATACAAAACAGTTGAATATCTACTAAAGAAATTGAATCTACTATTAAAATCCTTCCCATAGAATATGTTAAGGATGATAAATATATTGTGGATATGAAGAAGAATGACCCTATATTCTAGAGATATAAACTACACAACGGTAGTAAAGGCCACGATGTCTCTAATTTACTTTTAAATTTGCTAAATATACCTAATCTAAGAAAAATAAAAATATATATACAGGCATATCTTTGGAGATATTGTAGGTTCTGATCCAGACCACTGCAAAAAAGTGAATTTGATGATAAAGCAAGTCACACATTCTGTTTCCCGGTGCATATAATAATTACGTTTACACCATTCATAGTGTACTACGAGTGCAATAGCATTATGTCTTTAAAAACAATGTACATACCTTAATTTAAAAATATTGCTAAAAAATGACAACGATCATCCGAGCCTTCAGTAAGTCGCAATCTTTTTGCTGTTAGAGGGAATACTGCTTTTATGTTGCTGGCTGCCGACTGATCAGGGTAGTGGTTGCTTAATCGCCATCTACCGGATGGCAGCCCAAACTTCAACATCAAAAATACTTTGCAACCCTGTGAAACCAATGCCAAGAAATCAGCCACAAGCAAAGACCCTTTACAAACTTTCATCCACCTGAAAACATCCAGAAATAAAGCCAATTGACTATACTCAAATTACACCACAGTTAAAGGAAGATCAGCCCACACAGATGAGAAAGAACCAGTGCAAGAACTCTGGCAACTCTAGGAGCCAGAGTGTCTCCTTACATCCAAAAGACCGTACTAGCTCCCCAGTAATGGTTCTTAACCAGAAGAACATAAACAGATTAAATGCCCCAATTAAAAGGCACAGAGTGGCAAGTTGGATAAACAGCAAGACCCAACTATATCCTATCTTCAAGAGACCCATGTCACATGCAGTAACACCCACAGGCTCAAAGTAAAGGAATGAAGAAAGATCTGTCAAGCAAATGGAAAACAAAAAAGAGCAGGGTTCCCATTCTCATTCCAGAAAAAAAACTGATTTTAAATCAACAATGATCAAAAAGGACAAGGAAAGGCATTACATAATGATAAAGGGTTCGATTCAACAAGAAAACTTGACTATCCTAAATATATATGCACCCAACAATGGAGCACCCAGATTCTCGAAACAAGTTCATAGAGACCTATAAAGAGACTTAGATAATCACACAGTAATACTGAGACACTTCAACATTCCACTGACAGAACTAGACAGATAATTGAGGCAGAATATCAGCAAATATAATCACAACCAAAACTCAACGTTTGACTAAATAGACCTAACAGACATCTACAGAACACTCCACCCAACAAAACTAATGAAAAAAGAAAAAAAAAAAGATACGACATACTAGAATTTCTGGGACATAGCTAAAGCAGTGTTAAGAGTAAAGTTAACAGTGCTAAACATCCACATTAAAAAGTCAGATCTCAAATTAGCAGCCTAATGTCACACCTAGAGAAACCTGAAAAACAAGAGCTAACCAATCCCAAAGGTAGCAAAAGAAAAGAAATAACCAAAATCAGAGCAGAACTGAATGAAATGGAGATGAGAAAAACCATACAAACGACTTTTTTAAGTTGGTTCTTTGAAAGAACAAATAAGATTCAGACTTCTAGCTAGACTAAAAAAGAAAAAAAGGGAAAATATCCAAATAAACACAATCAGAAATGACCAAAAGGACATTACTACTGACCCCACAAAAATTCAAAAAATAAAAATAAAAAAACCTTCAGAGACTATTACCAACACCTCTATGCACACAAACTTAGAAAACCTAGAAGAAATGGGTAAACTCCTGGAAACATACCACCTCCCAAGACTGAACCAGGAAGAAACTGAGTATCTGAACAGATCAATAATAAGTTGCAAAACTGAATCAGTAATTAAAAACCTACCAAACAGAAGGCCCTGGACAAAATGAATTCATAGCCAAATTCTGTCACATGTATAAAAAAGAGGGGATGGCCAAGCATGGTGGCTCATGCCTGTAATCCCAACACTTTGGGAGGCTAAGGCGGACAGATCACCTGAGGTCAGGAGTTTGAGTCCAGCCTGGCCAACATGATGAAACCCCGTCTCTACTAAAAATACAAAAATTAGCCAGGCATGGTGATGGGCGCCTGTAATCCCAGCTACTTGGGAGGTTGAGGCAAGAGAATCACTTGAACCCGGGAGGGGGAGGTTGCAGTGAGCCAAGATCACGCCATTGCACTCCCACCTGGGCAATGAGTGAAACTCTGTTTCAAAAAAAAAAGAAAAAAAAAATGAGGAGGTACCAATCCTACTGAAACTATTCAAAAAAAAAAAAAAAATCAAGGGATTCCTCCCTCATTCTATGAGGCCTGCATAATTCTGATACCAAAACATTTCAAACCACTATCCTTGATGAATGTAAGATGCAGAAATCCTCAATAAAATACTAGCAAAAGGAATCCAGCAGCACATCAAAAAGCTAATCTACCATGCTCAAGTAGGATTTATTTCTGGGATGTAAGGTTGGTTCAACAGATGCAAATCAATAAATGTGATCACCACATAAATAGAACTAAAAATGAAAACTACATGATCAGCTCAATAGACACAGAAAAGGCTGTCGATAAAATTCAACATCGCTTTGTGTTAAAAATCCTCAATGAACTACTCATCGAAGGTGCATACCTCAAAATAATAAGAGTCATCCATGACAAACCCACAGCCAACATCATACAGAATGGACAAATGCTGGAAGCATTCCCCTTGAGAACCAGAACAAGACAAAGATGCCATCTCTCACCCCTCCTATTCAACACAGTACTGGAAGTCCCAGCCAGAACAATCAGGCAAGACAAAGAAATAAAAAGCATCCAAATAAGAAGAGAGGAAGTCAAATCATCTTTCTTCGCAAGATACTATACCTAGAAAACCCCACAGTCTCTGCTCAAAGGCTCCCAGATCTTATGAACAACTTCAGCAAAGTTTCAGAATACAAAAATCAATGCACAAAAATTAGTAGCATTTCTATACATCAATCACGTCTAAGCTGAGAGCCAAATCAAGAATGCAGTCCCATTCACAACAGCCACAAAAATAATAAAATACCTAGGAATACAGCTAACCAGGGAGGTAAACGATCTCTACAATGAGAATTATAAAACACTGCTGAAAGGAATCAGATATGACACAAACAAATAGAAAAGCATTCCATGCTCATGGATAAAAGAGTCAGTATTATTAAAATTACCATACTCCCCAAAGCTATTTACAGATTCAATGCTATTCCTATCAAACTATTAATGACATTTTTTCACAGAATAAGAAAAAAAATTCTAAAATTCATTTGGAATAAGAAAAGAGCCTGAATAGCCAAAGCAATCATAAGCAAAAAGAACAAACCTGGAGGCATCACACTACCCAACTTCAAATATACTACAAGGCTATAGTAACAAAAACAGCATGGTACTGGTACAAAAACAGACACACAGACCAATGAAACCCTTCTTTATTTCTAGGTTATGGAACCCAGAACACCTATAACTATCTGATCTTTGACAAAGCCAACAATAGCAAGCAATGGGGAAAGGATGGCCTATTCAAAAAATGGTGCTGGGATAACTGGCTACCATATGCAAAAGATTGGAAATGGACTCCTACTTTTTACCATATATAAAAATCAACTAAAGATGGATTAAAGACTTAAAAGTAAAACCTAAGACTATAAAGACCCTAAAAGAAAACCTAGGAAATACCATTCCACACATCAGCCCAGGCAAAGACTTCATGACAAAGACTCCAAAAAAATTTGCAACAAAAACACTGACAACTGGGCCTAATTAAACTAAAGAGTTTCTGCATAGCAAAACAAACTATCAACAGAATAAACAGACAACCCATAGAACAGGATAAAATATTTGCAAACTATGTATCTGACAAAGGTCTAATATTCAGAATCTATAAGGAACTCAAATCAACAAGTAAAAAACAACCCCATTAAAAAATGGGCAGGGACATGAACAGGCACTTCTCAAAAGAAGACATACTAGCAGCCAACAAACATATGAAAACATGCTCAATATAACTAATCAGTAGAGAAATGCAAATCAAAACCACAATGAGACAGCATCTCATACCAGTCAGAATGGCTGTTATTACAAAGTCAAAAAATAACACATGCCAGTGACATCGCAGAAAAAATGGAATGCTTATATACTGCTGGTGGGAATGTAATTTAGTTCAGCCACTGTGGAAAGCAGTCTGGAGATTCCTCAAAGAACTGAAAATAGAACTACCATTCAATCCAACAACTCCATTACTGGGTATATGCTCAAAGATACAAATTATTCTACCATAAAGACACATGCACACATGTTTATCACAACACTATTTACAATAACAAAGACACGGAATCAAGCTAGATGCCCATCAACGGTGAACTGGATAAAGAAAATATGGTACAGATATACTACAGAATACTAAGCAGCTATTTAAAAAAATGAGATCATGGCCTTTGCAGCAACAAAAGATGGAACTGAAGGCCATAATCTAAGTAAATTAATATAGGAGCAGAAAACCAAACACTGCATGTTCTCACTTATAAGTGGAAGTTAAACATTCAGTACACATGGACACAGAAGGGAACAATAGACACTGAGGCCTCTTTGAGGGTAAAGGGTGGGAGGAGGGTGAGGACTGGAAAACTACCTACCAAATATTACACCGATTACCTGGGTGACAAAATTATCTGCACACCAACTCCTGTGACACACAATTTACCTATGTAACGAACCTGCACATATACCCCTTGAACCTAAAATGAAAGTTGTGAAGAAAAAAAAGAAAATGGCCCCAAAAGACTTGCTCAATACAGTGTTGCCACAAAACTTCTATTTGGTTTTAAAAAAAAAAATCTGCAAAGTGCTATAAAGTACAACAAAACAAGGTAAGCCTGTACATAAATGAATAAATATTAGCAATTAAATCCAATGATATATAAAAAGGATAATCCATATCACAACCAAGTAAAGTTTATTTTAGGCATACAAAAGTTGTTGAACATTCTGAAATCAATCTGTGTGAACTCTTGGGCCTAGAGGACAACAATGGCCACCAAATTTCAAATGTCTCCACATAACCTCTCAAGAAACAAACAAAAAATCAAGAGCACAAATAAATCCACATATGGCTCACATTTTCAGCACCACTAGGAAACAAAGATACCATGACCTTTGGATTATCTGTAAATAGAAAAACCAACCAAACTACAACAGCACTCCCAGGGCCCCCTATTGTAAGCCAATGGATGTGGTGACCAGAGGAAGAAAAGCTTAAGAGATCCCTTGGTGGGGGTGGGGGGAAGGAAAAAAAAAAAAAAAAAAAAAAAAAAATATATATATATATATATATATAGAGAGAGAGAGAGAGAGAGAGAGAGCAAACTGGACTTAAACCAAAGCACAGGAAAAAACAAACGAACAAACAAACAAAACAGAAAAAGGAAGCCCAACTAAATGCCAAACACAGGTTGGCATCTGATAGTTAAAGGACAGGCTTTGGCAAGGCACGGTGGCTCACGCCTCTAATCCTGGCGCTTTGGGAGGCCAAGGTGGGCAGATCACCTGAGGACAGGAGTTTGAGACCAGCCTGACCAACATGGAGAAACACCGTTTCTCCTAAAAATACAAAATTAGCCAGGCGTGGTGGCACATGCCTGTAATCTCAGCTACTCGGGAGGTTGAGGCAGGAGAATCCCTTGAACCTGGGAGGCAGAGGTTGTGGTGAGCCGAGATTGCGCCATTGCACTCCAGCCTAGGCAACAAGAGTGAAACTCCATCTCAAAAAAATATATAAATATAAATAAAATTTAAAAATAAAAAAAACAGGCTTTATAGGCTCGAAAGTGAAGAAAATAAAAAGTGAGAGCCTTGGTAAAGCCTTCCTACTGGGGAAGAATCAGATATATAGAAAATGAGTGATACCCCTTCAAGGTGTGGCAGTGAAAGGCCAAAGGGAAAGAAGAAAATGAGAGAAAGGTCAGGATCCTACAGAAATAAAAGAGAAACAAGACCCCAACCCATTCCCCATCATCATCCATAATGGAAATTGCAGAGAAGAGGGTGGAAACAACAGAAAGCAGGCTCTCAAAACTGGAACCCTGCCCTTGTAAGGAATGGGAATAGAAAAAAGCAGACCTGAGCCAGGTGCCATGGCTCACACTGAAGTCCTGGCTTTTTGGGAGGCTGAGGCAGGAGGACTGCCTGAGACCAGTTCAAGACAGTCTGGGCAACATAGCAAGACTCCTTCTCCAAAATATTTCTTAAAAGAAAAAGCAGACCTCTTGCACTCAACACTGTTAAAGATCAGAATAATAATTTCCTTTGAAGAGGGGAGATGAAGAAGCTTCTATGGTGCTGGCCAAATTCTGCTCCTTGATCTGGATGCCAGTCACATGGGAGTGTCCCATGTGTGAAAATACATTCAGCTATATGATTATGATATTTACTTTTCTGTATATATAATATACTTCCGTTAAAAGTTTAAAAAAAGTAGATACCATGCCGGTTCTCTAGAGAATTATCATCTAAGAAACATGTAAGAGAACACACATGAACAACCAAAACAATCATTTTTGTTTTTTAAGGCCAGGGGAGAAAGGATAATAAACGGCACTGTTGGGCCATGACAGATAAGCAGAAGATAACATTTCAATGTGTTTTTTTTTTGTTTCTGCCTAACATCCCTTCCTCATTTTGATCCACTCCTTCCACATTCCATGGTTATGCCGTTCAGTTCATGCAGTGCATCAGGGATAGCTCTGTCCACCTTCCCAGGGATGACCAAATAACCTATGCCTAATCAGGTTACAAAGACAGAGGTGAAAGCTATGTGACGCATGCCAGGCCAATCCTCCCTGAGGCTTTTATTGGAGCTATGAGGGAAAATACCCTCTTCCTCCAGGATCCTGAGGACAAAGTCTTTGTAAACCTGGAGCTAGTCAGGGGTTACCTTTCATGCCATGAAGATAAAATCAAATAAGAGAAAGGGGATAGCAAATACAGGGTGTGAACAGAGACAGGCAAATAAAAAGACAGAGACCTGTTGGCATTTCTTGAACACCTGAATTGAGCTATATGTAATCATTTAAGTGGAATAAAACACTCTTTTTCAGATGGACTAAAACAATGTTTTCTATGTGAGCCTCTTTGAGTTGGTTACGATTTTGCTACCTGGAGCTGAAAATCTAGTCTTAACACAAAACCTGAAAGAGAATTACCTGAGTATAGGATAATTTAAAAAGCAACTCTCTTTTCATTTGTGAATATTGAGAACAGAGAATCTGTAAGTCTTCTCTCTGAACCTATGAAATAGTTCCTTCTGAGTTCACTGCATTAGTAACTGCTGACTCCTATTGGCAGACACTTCCTGGATCAACTAAAGAAAGGAAAAAACAGAATGCTGATGAGGAGGGAAGACAGAAGACTAAGTGGCATATTTAAATCATTTCAAATCTCTATTTTTAAAAATCTTAATTAGACTGTTTTAAAATGCTTCCTTCTAGCCAGTTTCAAAACAGTTAAGATCTGAAAAATTCTCAACTAAGGCAATTTATTAAATCATAGTGAAAAGTACACATTTTATTTTAAAACAGAAAAAGCTGTGGAAAATTTTCATGACATTCAGGTCACAGGTCACAACTGAAGGAAAAAATAAAATAAAATAAGAAATATTCTGTATTTGTTTAATACTCCTCCCTATTGAAAAATAAGATCTCAACTTCCAGACAGAGACGGATAGAAGGCTCATACCTCAATAAGCAGTCCCTCTTTTCCAACCATATTACAATGATAAACAAAATACACAAGAGATACCAAAAGGCACAACTGGGTTCAAACTTAAGATAAAAATCTCTGTGGCAAGTGGGATTTATCCTAGGAATTCCAGAGTGGTTCAATATAAGAAAAGCAATGTAATATACCACATTAATAGAACAAAGAAGAAAAAAAGCACAATTGTTTCAAGTGATGCAGAAAAAGCATTTGTCAGAATCCAACACCCCTGCAAGAGAACATACAAAAAACTAGGAATAGAATAGAACTTCTTCAACATGATAAAGGGCGTCTATGAAAAACCAACAACTAACATCATATTCCACGGTAAGACTGAAATCTTTCCCCCTGAGATATCAGGAACAAGACAAGAATGTCTGCTTTCCCAATGTTCTTGTACATTGTACTGGAAGTTCTAGCCAGAGCATTAGGTGAGAAACAGAAATAAAAGCCATCCAAATTGAAAAGGAAGAAGGAAAACTACCTCTATTCTCAGAATTATAATCTTATACAGTTGCCCTTCAGTATCCACAGGGGATTGGTTCTAAGATTCCCTAAATACCAAAATCACATGACTTGCTTCCCTTTATCAAACCTAAACTTACTACGTTTTTCATATTATCTATCTATTTCCAAAGCCAAAAACTTTATCCTTTGGGTTTCTAAATATTTGAGTAACTCTTATTCATGGAATAAATCAATGGTCCAAGCTCCATACAAGGTCATGGTGTCTGAAATACGTCTGGACATCCCTGATAGCCTAGCACATATCTACCCAAGAATAAACTATAAAAAATGGTTTGGTACTGCTTATTATACCATTTACCAGAATGAAAATGTTTGCATCTCTTAATCTGAGTACTAACATTAAAAATAGTCTCACTGGTCAAAAATATCAACAAAATCTTCAAAGAAAAATTGGATATCAACAATATCCAGAAATACATTATGAAATGTCACTCATAATGTATGCAAGAGAAGAGAAGAGGAGAGGAAAGGAGGTAAAAGGGAAGGAGAGGAGAAGGAAGAAAATGAGAGAGGAAGAAAAGAAAAAGAGTGAGAAGGGCAGGGGGAAATAATGGGGTATTTTTTAAGTGTGGCATCAACATCAAGTTAAGTGAAAAGCAACGGGTATAACTATGGCAGCAAATCTACCAGATATTTTCAACAAGATATACACTACAAAATCATGGGTCATATTAGCATGCTATTAAGTTGACAGAAACATCTCATCTTGAAGGGCCGTCACTCAATTTGATTCTATATTTTTAGAAAATAACCATTTTATATTCCCTATTACAGGGCCTGCTACATACAAGAAATAAATGCTTGTTGAAAGATCAACTAGATGAATAGATGGCTGAGTGAAAACAAACAAATGGATAGAAGGAAAAATGACAAATACTCAAAATAAGAAAGTTTTCAAATATTCTACAATGGAGAGGATTTCCCACTTCTCCATCTTAAAATGCTAATCTAATTAGGAGGAACATGTGAGAAGTAGCATAGCACAATACGAAGAAAATATGATTTAGGCTCAGAAAGACCTAGATTAAAATCGTAGCTCAACTTTCACTAGTTTGTGTCCTTGAGCAAATTGCTTAATTTATGTAAGTCTTAGTTTTCTCCACCTATAAAACAGGGATCACAATATCTACCTTACAAAGACATCAAACCAGTACTTTTGGCACCTGGAACAAACTACACAAAACCAGCTCTCAAATCGACTCTGTAATTCATGATGTAGCCCACAGATGGGTGTTACTAACAATGCTCGCCATCTGGTAGCTTCCTGTTTTAAATAATTATTCTTGCTAACTAGGTGCCAAGCTTTTAGAATCATTATATTAAATGTTTGCACCCTCTAAATTTTGGTGTCCTTAGACAAAGTCCAGTATGGCCAGTCATAGTTCAACTTATAGGGTTCCTTTGAAGATTAAAAATAATGTAAGAAAAATACCTTGTACAGTGACAGGCATGTAATAAATTACTTAAACATTTTATTGATACCTTTATGTAATCCATTTACCACTCTATATTACCACAACCACTCCAATAAGCCCACACATAGATTAATCATATCCGCCACTTTCAGTAATATATAAACAAGATGGACAGGAAAGTGTGATATATATATTGCAACATCCTTTTCAAAAATTCAAGTTGATTCCTTCAACTCTGACTTTTGGATTTTCTCTCTTAAATCCATAAAGACCTGAGAATTTAGAAGAGTAGACAGTCCTTTCATTCCAAGAACCATTTCTAAGAGGGAGTAAGTGAAGTGTCAGGTTCAAAGAGAATTCAAAGTTACCACTATCAGGGTATACTTATTCTCTGCCGGATGGGCAAAGAGAGCTGTTGCTATTGTGTTTTGCATGTGGTCTCAGCTGTGCAAATACCAGTTAAATAAGAAAAACATCAAGCCATCTTTATCAGACCTACTAACAACCCAGATAAACTTCTTTAGGATGAATAGTTTAGTAACAAAATAACAAAATTTGCCAACCCACAAGAATCTTTGTATAAAGCATTACTTAGCTCTGAAAGATTATTTTCTCTGTATTATCAGATATCCAGAAATACTTATTTTATTATAAGGCATGCCAATCCATGCCAATAAAGGTCACAAGAACAAATGTTATGAAGAGTTCAATTTAAATGATTCATACGTTTTACTGGCTATAGAGATATTTCACTAACAGTTTTGTTACCCCAGAACAAACTTTACCCAAGGAAACATCTCTTCTGAAAATAAAGGTCAAATCAAGCTCATAACTAGAGCCCCCAGTTTCCCCAGAAATTGAAGGACAATGTCCATATGTCTGTTAGGTGGTGACTAGTATGCTAGTACAGAATCCATGGACTGGAAGCACTGTCCTGATCTTACATTTGACACAGGGTCAAATGTGTAACCAGGAGGACTGAAACAAAGGTTCTTTTATATACTGGTTAAAAATTAGAATTCTATGATTGTGGTTCCCATAGTTTGTCTGAATAAAAATTGATCACATTATGAATAAACAATAAAAGACTAAAATCAATTTAGTCAGTTATTAACTTCTGGAATTGTGGCATATTAATAACAGAAACCAATCCAGAGCAGGAATGGATATTGTGCTTTCAAAAAGACAAACATGCATTAAATAGGAGATACATGGTTAAATGGTAATGTTCCTTAAGATAGCAGTCTAGTAGGTTTGGTATCAAGTTCTAGTGGAGAAATAATTCACCACCATAATCAGCAAAGTAACTAACCAAATGACACATTATTTGTTATTTTCTGACATGCATCTATAATTCTCATTTTGAAGCACAGATTTTTATTTTTCTGGTGCCATCAAGTGGTAACATTATGAAATGTTCTAAGATTAAATGCAAATAACTTAAAAAATGTCACACTGACCACACTGATGTGTTTTATTTGTGTCAATTAAACACCAGTGATGTTTTAGCACATAATTCTCTGAAAACAAATGGAAAAAATGTCAGAGCAGATTTTTTTATAACTCATACCCATTTTAAACTCCCAACCCAAAATGAGAGTTAAGGCAAAGAATAAAAATGAATAGATATTTAAGACCAGAATGCTCCACTAGCAAACAAAAAACCCAACAGATGGCCTGGTGCAGTGGCTCACGCCTGTAATCCCAGCACTGTGGGAGGCCAAGGCAGACAGATCACCTGAGGTCAGTAGTTCGAGACCAGCCTGGCAAACATGGTGAAACCCCGTTTCTGCTAAAAATACAAAAATTAGTTCGGCATGGTGGCACACACCTATAGTCCCAGCTACTAGGGAGGCTGAGGCAGGAGAATCACTTGAACCCCGGAGGCAAAGGTTGCAGCGAGCTGAGATCATACCACTGCCCTCCAGCCTGGGTGACAGAATGAAACTCTATCTCAAAAAAAAAAAACCTAACATTATAAAACCATTTGAAAAATAAAATTAGGGTGAAAATGATCTTTCCATCAAAGCAAGAAAACAAGTAACTTCAAAATTAGGTATCAATTAGAAACCTTAAAAGTGATAGCTAATATTAATCATATCAAGATGACAAAATTAATGAGAAATGAATTTAGAATCAATTATTTGAAACTGTGTTAACAGGTTCCAAATGGTTATATAAGCAACTTTAGTAAGACAATAACTAATGAAAAAAGAAACAAGACTCCATCTCCTCTTATTGCTATACACACAAAACATTAATCGCTGTTTGATCCTCAGGCCCACCGAAATTAAGTATCAATTGTGAAATCTGAATTCCCAGTTGAAGATGGCAAACTGAACACATTTCTTTAGCTATTCTCCCTCCAGAAACTCTATTAACATGGCAGTCAAAAATTTCTTTAAGACAAAACCCCACAAGAATAAAGAAACTGAGAAGGTAACAGCAACAAAATTTTAGAATATAAAAGCTGCCATGGAATATAATTTAAAAAAAAAAAGGTAGATGGATGAGAAGTTACTAAAAGGGAATCAAGAAAGTTGCCTGATTTACATGGCATGGTAAAACTCTCCAAAAATTCAGGAATTGGTGGCATTAGGAAATGGGAGTGAAACCTAAAAACAAGAGAAATGGTCAAAATCCTGGTTAAGAAGCAGTTAGGACCCTCCATATACAGACAGGTACACCATTTTATAAAACTGAAAGTTTATACTCCAGAAATAACAAAAGGCTTCTGGACTACAGGATACTAGGCATAGTGAGAAGTACTGTAGTAAAAAGTGTTAGTAATACAGGAGACTGGTAATCTGAATGGTACCGACAAACCCAAGACCACAGAACAATGAAAATGATGATCTTCTGTAAATGAAACCACTGGAAGAATGTCAATATCAATCTTTGATTACTGCATCCAAAAAGTCATGCAACTAAATGCAGAATGCTTCATTCTGCTTTTATAAGGAAAAATTTAAGGGTTAAAACAATAGCTGATACTTCAAAAAAGTAAGTTCTATATACAGACATTCAGTTACAGTCAGCTCTACATGTCCCACATCACCTCCATTAATTAAATGAGAATTTACTACAACTACAAAGAACAGAATAGTCGGCAAACCCAAGAATCTTTTATGCTCTTAGTTTAAAAATCCATTTCATTTTGTCTCTTCAGGTCATCAAGAATCTCTGTGAATTACTCCTGAGAGAGATGAAGGCCGGTAAAACACTGCCTTTTCAAATCAGAAAAGAAAGATTATTATTCATACAAGAGACTTCAAGACATGCTGACTTTTTTTTAAATCCTGTTTTTGTGGATTAATTGATTAAAAGTAGAGGGTTAAGTACCTCCGATAATGTCTAACATCTCAAGGAACTTAAAGTATATATCCATATATAGGTCTTTTAAGCTTCAGTAATTTCTCATTTTCAGTATTATTTCCATAAGACTATACAGAAGATATATGTATGTACTTTTTTTTCCCACATACCAACAAAAGAGCATGCCAAAACATAATATACATAAAACCATACCTTGAACACCTTCTAGGAGTAAATCAACTCCCTTCCTATAAAAATCAGAAGCAGCTTCATAGTCGTCTTCTTCTTCCTTTTTTAAAGCCAGCTTTATTAATTCTCCTGCTTTCTCCAAATAATCTCTCTTGCCAAGCTTCGGCTTTAAACTGCCAGGAAAGAGGCTACGACTTTCCCGTTCTTCTTCTGTTTTGCTCTGTTCACTGTCAGAAGCAACAGCCCCTAGTGCTGAAGAATCCGAAGAAAGATTGAGACCAAAAGTTCTAATGGGAGAATTTTGATTGGAAGCCATTCCATCATCTAACTCAGCAAGAGAATCCACATCAACAGTAAGAGATACCAGATCACTGTCACTGGAGAAGCCTAGAAATATGATCACAATAGTAAACAGATATTAAATTGAGAATCAGCCAAACGAATACAAATCATGCTAATTATTCATTTTTCATATTATCCAAGTCAATTTGGAAGGCTGTAATTTACTGATGGAAGTCAGTGTCTAGCAATTTGTTTAGGCTTAGTCCATTCATTTTACTGTCTCTCTGTAACTCTGGAAGACAACTTCTTGCCTTAATCATCAAACTAAAATTGAAGACAAATCTTTATCTAGTTTGGTTGCCAAAAAGAGCCTTTACCACAAGATCCTGTAAGCTATTTACAGAAAGCTGTTGCCTGTACACATAGTTGCTATAAATAATAGCATTTTAATAAAGGAAAAAGCACTTGAATCTCAGCTCTCTTTTTTTTGTTTTGTTTTTGTTTTTGAGAACAGCATCTTGCCATGTTGCCCAGCTGCACTCCAACTCGTGGGCTCAAGCAATCCTCCCACTTCAGCCTCCCGAGTAGCTTAGATGGCATGAGCCACCAAGCCCAGCGCCAGCTCTTAAAACTTACTGTGTGACCAACAGCAGGTTACTTAATAGTATTACTTATTATGCAAGTCTTTAAATGAGGAATAGAGTTAATGCATATAAAGCATAATAGACTATCATTATATTATAACTTTTATAACAATTACATAAACAGGTTGAATATCCTTCATCTGAAATGCTCGGGACAGAAGTGTTTCAGATTTCAGATTTTCAGATTAGGGATACTCAACCTGTAACTATATAACAACTACACAATGCGTCCTCAGAAGTGTGCTTTTAGGTAACCATCCGTAACTGGAAAATGTATGCTATTTAGCATTTTTTAAAAACTGAATTTTTAGACATTTTCATCTCAGCCTCTTCTACAAGCTTCTGGAAAGGTATATTTCCACCTTAGTTTTCAGACAAAAAAGAGGTAATAGGTGCTACTGAATTATTTAGCAGTGAAAATTCCTTCTCCTAGTTCATATAACTGACATCATGGTAAATGAGCACGATCCACAATACATATCAGACTTTCTGCTCCCAGGACAGCCTTTTATATTCTTCAAAATGATTGTGGACTCTAAAAAGCTTTTGTTCATGTGAATTGTATCTGTGAATATTTATTAAATACCAATATTGATATTTACAAAAGAAGTCTAGAAATGTATAAAATAAAGCATTAAAGCCCCATTACATGTTAACATAATTTTTATGAAAAATAACTATATTTTCCAAAACAAAAAAAGTTAGTGAAAGAAGTGGCATTGTTTTACATTTTTGCACTGTTTTACATTGTTTTACATTTTTGTTAATGTCTGGATTAACAGCAGATAGCTAGAATCTCATATCTGATTCTGCTCACAATCTGTTGTCATATGTTGTTTTGGATGAAAGATATGAAGGAAATGTCACATAGATAATGTAACTGAAAAAGAAACAAGTATTAGCCTTTTCAAATAATTATGAATATTGTTCTTTGATACTACACCAAAACTCAACAAGTGATAGGTTTTTAAAGCTTAGTTGTAATGTGGAATATAAAATCCTATGAATGAAATTTCTGTTTCTGTTACATTCAAATCCATTGGTCTGTCTTGCACACTGAATGGATCTTTTATCTGTGCATGAATTTATAACATCACACATTGGTCATCCTGAAAATACTGGTTCCCTTAGTTATAAAGATCTTCGAAATGTTGACAGCACATTTCATTATCCCAAAAAATCATATGTCAACATTTCATTATCTACCAATCTCATCAGAAAACTAAGTATTGGGAAACTGTCAAACCCAAAGTGGCAGACAGAGGTTATCTGAAAATCCTAATTTTGAATTGAAAACTCCAATTTTATGATTGGCAACAAATAATATCAGTTGTTTTCCTTGAAGTGTCAGCTTACTTCACTCCCTTTCAAGAAAAAAAGTGCCAAATACACAAGTCTGAATAATGACAGTTTGTTAATTGTTCTTTCAAGCAAAATGGTGTCCCATGAAAAAAGCAGCTAGTTCAGCTAATGGCTCAAACAACTGCATAAGTGCTTTTCCTCAAGACGACCATGGTAGTTCAGTATGCAGAGTGCTTTATGTATAATTCTCATTTTTTCACACAGCATATTAAAAAGACAAGTGACAAGGGTTAAGATTTAACAAAATGTAACAGTTTCTACTACTTAGGAAAAATTAGCATTGGTTTTATAAGTATGTGCAATGAGTACTGTTACGGTTTGGTGACACTGCCTTGATTCATGCCCAAGCACAGCAGTTTCACCTACCATGGCTTTTGCATCATCAGGGCAAATGTCAATATGGTGAAAAGACAAAGAATGTCCTGGCATTATTATCAAAACAGTTTTGCTTTATGAACTCCCTGAAAATATCTCAGAAACACCCAGAGATCTGAAGATTACATTTGAGAGCCAGTGATCTATACCATTAAATAAGACTGACAACAGAGTTATATAAAAACTAGTTTGGAAATAACTGAGATCTGCATTCACCACTGAACATTATCTGCCAAGTTTCTCAGGAAAAAAAAATTAAAAAGAAAATGATATCCTCAGGATTATATACTAAATCAAAATTAAAAGTGGATTAGACTATACAATTCTAGATCAGGGATCAGCAAGCTTTTTCTATAAAGGGCCAGAAAGTAAATATTTTAGGCTTTGCAGGCCATATGTGGTCTCTGTCACCACTCAACACTGCCATTGTAGTGCAAAAGCAGCCATAGACAATATATAAATGAATAAGCATGGCTGTGTTCCAGTAAAACTTTATTTACAGACATTGAAGTGTGAATTCCTTATAATTTTCCCATCACAAAACCACAAAATCATATTCTTTTAATTTTTTTAACTATTTAAAAATGCAAAAACCATTCTTAGTTTTCAGGCCATACAAAAACAGGTGGCAGGCCAGATTCAGCCCATAGAACATAGTTTTGCCAACCCCTATTTTAAATTCAAATTGCCTACTTCATATCAAATAAAGTAAGTTAGGGTAAAAACATGTTACTGGCCACTAAGCTCAAATTTCTAATCAGCTTTAGATGCTGCTTTGGCACCCTGTCAATATATATCCTCATTTTCAACTTTTTTTCAACTTCTTAGAATGCCCCAAAAGAACAAATTCTATTCCCAAAAAGCAACAGATTTCATTAAACCGACAATCTCAAATGAGATTCATTGAGCCTAGTGAAAATCTTTTCAGTCCTCTGACATTTCAGCCATACGGACAGTAACAGTACTTCATAATAAGAATCTTTTATAGCAATCTACAGTTATTTATCTACTATCCTAAGAAATATATATAAATTTTATGAGATTTTTCTTGTCATTTTAAATATTTTATGTATTTCAATGTAAACTTATTTCCTTAAATGATGCCAATATATAATCTAGCCCATTGAAACTGATAAACAAATAGATAAGGTTGAAAAAAGTTCTGGTTTATATAGCTAATCACAAAAGAAAGGAAATGCTGTATTAGAGATCTCTTTTGTCTGTTCTCTGGTATCTTGTCACTATAACCTTCACACCATCTATCACATTGTTCTGTTTCATGTTTTGCCCCATTTTTCCTTTTAACAATAACAATAACACCAAAGGGCAAGCGGGCAAAGTTATGTATACTCTGTTTCTTGGCTTTTGACCACAAAAAACTGGTACCATAGTCATATTTCCTCTTACCTTTCAAATCATATTTTATTAGCAATGAGAATCATGATTAAATGAGATTAGATCAAAAAAGTAAGACCATTAAAATACCTAGAGAGAAAGATAGTAAGATTAAGTAAATAAACATTCTATACAAAGCATTCCTTTTCAAATTCTAAATAATTTCTTAATTCGGCATCTTTAAAAGCAAGCAAACACACACACACACACACACACACACACACACACAAGCAGATAAAAAAGAGAAATTTATATAGCCAAACCAGAAGAAGCAAAGAGAAATAAAAAGACATCTACTTTAACCTTTTTAGAGGACAATTTGCCAATGCATATCAAAAGCGCAAAATTGCTTCTTTCACCCAGAAATTCAGCAATTTATACCAAAACCTATCAGAGGTGTACAAAAAAGATCTACATACAAGAATGTCCATCTGTCCATCACAAAAATTAGTAAAAATGTGGCAATAACAAATTCCTAATAATAGATTATGATATCTCCTTATGATAAAATATTATACAGCTATTAAAATCATTTTATAGAATATTTAATGCTAAAGTGTCTTATATTATGCAAAAACAACAAACTACAAATGAGTATGTATACTTAATTCTACTTTAAAAACAAACACACACAGAAAAAAGGCTAGAAACATACACTATTAACAGTGATTTTCTGTGTATGGTAAGATTATAGGTAATTCTATAATATAGAATTTAATAATATACTTTGTGTATGGTAAGCCCTTAAGTTCAGTATCTGAAAGATATCAAAAGAGATGCATCAAGGGCCAATATTGGGAATTTATCTGAGTAAAAGAAAGTTATACAGGCATCATTTGTGAAATATAAACCTCTATGGATCAACCAGCAGCTAGCGTCAAGAATTCCAAACTTAAAAAAGGAGTTAGACACAAGTACAAAGGCAGATCTGTTTAAAGCAGGCAAACCCCTGACACCTCTTCCTTGCCCACCTTATTCCTTTAATTATCCTCTTGAAGTTGCATCTTACCATGCCTGAAAAGCCTAACCCTACCATATCTCCTCGACCACACAATGCAACCAATCATCTTCTAGTACTCACTGATATCTTTCTCTTCCATATTTAAGCAGTTTCTAAATTCCCTTCTTCTCAATGACGTATTCTCCGGCCAGCTCGAGGAAGATAACATTTAAAAACTCCTTTCACCACCACAGCAATGAATCTTATTTATAAACATATTATATGTAAATATTCAATGCCTAGTTTATTTATATTATATACTTAACACATCTGCTTAATACAGTGCTTGTTCAACTCCTAGAAATCACACTACAATTCAACTTATTTCATACAAAACTATATATAAATATCATACGAAACGCAAACTAGCTCCCTGAAGCCCAGAAAGAAAGTTAACAAGAAAGATATAGGGAGCAACAAGCAAGTGACAGGTTCTCAGTCTAGGTAGGAAGGACATTGTGGATAAGGCAGGGCAATCACTGACATTTGACATAATACAGAGACTATTTGTCAAAAGTTAAACCAACCTGAAGTCAACCCCATACTTAAAGAGGCCCTCTGGGCCATCGCAAGAGTAAAAGGTGCATCCTTCACCAACACCATCAAGGCAAAAACCTAAGCTTTTTTTGGAAGTGATACAAGGGGAAAAAGTCAAAGGTTCTATGAAAGCGTTCTGCCTCCAGGTTCGTATCACAGAAATTCAAGTCTCAGGGCTATTAGAGGGCCCCAGGTGACTTGTTAAAAAGCAGCTACAGACATAGGCGTTTATTTAGCATCCCAGTTCACCTACCTACCCTTACCTCTGTGCTTTGAACTGCTCAGAGTAGGGCAGTATAGTGAAATCTGTCTAGGACACCATCTCTGAAAGACAGGCCCCAGGGGAACAGGTTGAGTTGCCATAGAATAAATCTTTATACTATAAACTATCAGAAATCTGTATTTGAAGACCATCTGTAAAAAGAGATCGGTTTCCTTTAGAACAACAGGTGGTCTCTCATGGGTGACTATATATAAAATACATGGCCTCATTATTATTAGCTGATAGCTTTCACTGAGCCCTGAGGTTCAAATATTGCCATAGTCAACAAAAAGGAATTTCTATTTTTCCTAGTAGCAATGACTCATGCGCCATGCACAAAGCAAGTTATCTAGCCAGTAGAACAAAGGTTACCCTAAGGTAGAAGACATACATACCAGTTTCCATTAAGAAAGAAGCCCTTATAAATATGATTTTAAGTGAATACCTAAATCCAAAGCTTAATGCTAGTTAAGATTCCTGTATGTGATTCCCTATTCATCATTTAGTAATAGCTATTGTTACAAAAAAGAACCTTTCCTTTGAAGTTTCACATTTTTATAACGTTCTTGGGTCATGTCTATTATGCTTCATCCTTGAAAATGTACAAAAAGAGCCTCAGAATACCTCGTACAGATTTGGTAAAACAACAAAATAAGCCCAGAAAACAACACAGCAATCTTAATTACAACCCTAATACTGCTATCTTATCATAATAAAGATCCATCACTTGGCTTCATTTTTTGCCAAATGAACTTTATACTCTGCTACTCTCCATAACTTTCTCTAGCCTCCAGGACATCAAGCCCATTACCAGTATGCAAGTAGCTCATGCTGAGTTTTCTATACCAAATATGTCTTCTCCCCGCCTCCCCTCCATAAAATGAAATCTCTTCATTTCAAAATATAGTTCTGTGAGTGCTATCAAATACCTGGAGTATCTTCGGCACATGGCTAAACTTCTCTGAAATTCAAACTCTGTAATTGTGAAATAAGACATTTAAGTGTATCATTTATAATGATTCCCATGGCATACCATGAATTTTCTGTTATTTGTCCCACCCAACCCCTAAACTCCTAATATCCAATATTATCCTCAATAGCCCTAGAATTTGTAAGAGTCAATATTTATCATCAGTGTCATGTGTATCATTTACACACACTGGTACATTCTCATTTGTGGCTATCTTGGGGGGAAAAAATGACCTGTTGTTTTTGTCAAGCTCCACTACCAAGGAAAATTCAACTGGGGGCAGGGAATAAAAATAAGTTGGGTAAATAAGCACATAACAGAAAAAAGAATCTCTTCAAGCTGAGTATGCAAGAGATATTCTAACATACATAACACCAAAGGGCCTAGAAAAATACCAGTAACAAGATTTAGAGTTCTTATGGTGCCACCTAGTGGACATTTGCACTTAATTTTACTTTAAATTACTTGCACTTTCTATAAATTTACATTTAAATTAATATTTAATACTTTCTGTATTTTGTCATCTCACACTATATTATGTAGTAAATAGACTTTAAGTTTGTCTTGAAAATAGATTTAGGTTATTAAGTAACCAATCATGTGACAAATATTCCTATTTAAAATGATCTTGCCTCAAAGTGTCAAGTTTAAATCTATTAAATGAAAATAACACAAATAATAAGACAAAATAAATGGTATTTCGATACAGATTTTTTTCAAACTTAAATAACTATACACCTTTCCAATTAGACCAACCAGTGCTTTAAATATAATCAACGCCATTCAATTTAACACAGTTTAATCACAATCTTCATGTCTGTCTACACACCGTAAAGAATTATTAGGTGGCTGTAACCACAAAGACAAATTGAGTGATCAGCTTATTGCATGTAGCAGATCTTAAGAATTAATATTCTTAAATGTCTCCTGGAATAACAAAATCTACCCCCACCTGCCATCAAATAAACATACAAATCTTGACCTTAATGTCATTTAAGGGATCCGTTACAAAGACGAGCAATAGATGCTATCCTCAAAATGCACATTTCATTTACTTTAAAATAGTTAATTCAAGACAGTTTAATAGATCCTTTCGTGTCTCTACAATAGTTACAATAAGCACTTGAGGAGTTCTTAATTCACAATTTCCAGCCAAAAAAAGGTGGGGGTAGATTTTGTTATTCCAGAAGACATTTAAGCATATTCATTCTTAAGATATGCTACATACAATAAGCTGATCATTCAATTTTTCTTTGTGGTTACAATTACCTAATTATTTTCTCTCATTTGCTGCATGAACCAGAAAAAATGTCCCTCCCCAAACTGAAAAGTGATGTATTAGGAAGAGGAAATGACACAGGTTACCAGATGAGACTATACCAACATCCAAGTCTCTGATATCAAGGCCAGCATGGCACCAAAGCAATCTACACCCTTCAAAAAGGCCAACAGGTGAGAGAAATATGTCAAGGAGCTCAACTGATATGCACCGATTTGGGCAGGTTTCTACAAATGTCCTAGTAACTTCACGGCTAAATTTAATTCAAGGAAAAGACATAAGTTGAAATAGACATAATAGAAATAAGATGTTAGCAACCAATTACATCTTCTTTCATCTTTGAAAAAATATAGTTTAACTTCTTTGAACAAAGGAGATAAAGAGTAACCAGGATTTCATTTTTAAAATGTAAAACAATATTTTGTTTAAAAACCTACCAAATAATTTCTTAATTTTCAATTTCATATTAAACAAACTATATTTACCAGTTTATCACCAAATTATTTTTTACAAAACCTTAAAGGGGTTTCTCTATCCCATGCTACTACAAAGTAACTGTAATTTTAAAAAACAGGCCAAGCACAGTGGCTCACACCCATAATGCGAGCACTTTGGGAGGCCAAGGCCAGGAGAATCACTTGCGTCTAAGAGTTCGAGAGCTGCCTGGGCAGCACAGTGAGACCCCATTTCTACAAAAAATTTAAAAAGAAAAATTAGCCAGGCATGGTTGTGCCTGCCTGTAGTCCCAGCTACTCAGGAGGCTGAGGAAGGAGAATCACTTGAGCCCAGGACATGAAGGCTGCACTAAGCCTGGGTAACACGGTGAGACCCTATCACAAAACAAATAAACAGACACCCAGATCGTCATGTTTTCCTCAGAAAACTTTCATTTCAAAGTATATTAGGATCTGTTGACTGCATTTTAAGATATTAACAAAAATAATGATCACTTCACCTCTACCTCTGTTCTCTGAGAAGTGATCAACTTGCCATGTCACTCTAACTGTAACTAAAGAACATTGAAACAGCAGACTATATATTAAGATTTACCCCCTCTGCCTCACTCCACCAGCTAGCTAATTCACAAATATGAAAAATGACAATCCACCTTTAAAACATGGCTTAAAATAGTACATTTAGAGAAGTTTTCATGGGGTGAATCACTTCCTCACATTTTAGCTCTAAATCCAAAACACAAGCATTTGTCACCACGATCCCTCTAACAACCCTCCATTTCACTGCGTACCTGTGGGGCTTGGCTGGCTGCTGGCTTTCCTGCTCTTTTGCTACTAGATGTTCCTCTCCCTGGTTGTCTCCAGAGTTTGCAGACCTTTTGGTATGAAGTAAATCTTCCACTTTCCCACTATGCCAAACAATCTTACGATATTTAAAAGCCATTTTCCCTCTCAAATAACAATGAATTTGCAAGCTGTCTGACACTTTGATCTATCTGTATTTATCAACCTAATATCTTTCAGCAGGATTAATTTGCCAGGCATGCAACTTTTAAAGGGAGGGGAGAAAAACAACATAACCATTAACAGCATTTCCAGTTCCATGGTTTTCATTCTTCATGGATCACAGTGTGTTTCAGAGATGGTAACATAGTTGAAAAACTAAACCGCACTGACAGGATAAAATGTCAATATTCCTTTTAGATGTCATAAGTCATTTTCCGTGTTTTTGACAGAAATGTTAGCCCCAATTTCTCTCATAAAAGCACATTCCTAAAAGATAAATCCTTCCAAAGAAAACACATCTTTTTGAAACTTCAGAGGTAAACTCTGAAACAACTGCTTTAGGAAGGGTCACCCTTACAGCTCAGTTTGCCTGAGGCTGTCCTGTGTCATGTTTGTGGTCTTGGTATAATTATTAATAGCACTGTCTATAATTCTCAGAAGTGTCCCAGTTTGGAGAATAAACTACATGCTCACCCTAGCTTTAGGTTGTGTCTCCTTTAGCATTAATACAGCCATCTGTTCACCTTGAACAGCATCAGTATTTTAGAATACCATCCCAAGAAACCTCATTCCTAATAATCATGCTTCTCCCTTTCTGGCCTAGACTACAGCAAAGAACAGAAAGATCTCTGCAGAGCTTGCATCCATGATTGCCTTATACTAAAATAGGCTCCTAAGATACCGTTCTTTCACCATGGTTGACTCCCACCTAGTAACAGAAGCTTATTATAGATATCAGAAGAATATAACTACTCCCATATCACAGAACCTTTGATTCTTGTATCAAAAAAATAGAGAAAAGAAACATTCTGCATTTCTGACTATTGCACTCCTCATTGAATACTCTCATATATATATATATATATATATATATATATATATATATATATATATATATATATATATATATATATATATATATGCCCAGGCTGGAGTGCAGTGGCGTGATCTTGGCTCACTGCAACCTCCACCCCCATGGTTCAGGCAATTCTCATGCCTCAGCCTCCCAAGTAGCTGGGATTACAGGCACCAGCCACCTTGTCTGGCTAATTTTTGTGTTTTTAGTAGAGACAGGGTTTCACCATATTGGCCAGGCTGGTCTCAAATTCCTGACCTCAAGTGATCCGCCTGCCTTGGCCTCCCAAAAGTGCTAGGATTACAAGCGTGAGCCACCATGCCCAGCCTCTCCTACAAATATTTCTAACTCTCCTACTTGTTCTCACAGAATCAGTATGGAATCAGGTGGAAAATGTGCACTCCTCTTTCTCAGGAGTAGGGAAACTGAGGCAACAGCCAGCTTAGGTTATACAGAAAAGTCACCTTCCGAGGAAACTGGTTCTATTAGAATCACATTGGGATCCCAAGCAGGGACTAGATTTTCCAAACCTTCGCAAGGATCTCTGATTAAAATAGGTCACAAAGAACAGATATTTTACCACCACCGCCCCCGACACACACACAAAAAAAATAATAGATTATAAAGTAAAATTACTGTCAACAATGTTTTTCTATGACCCTGGCAGAATCAGGGTGGAGTCAAAGATACTGAGAACTCAGTGAAGACCCCTGGGCATGTGGCCCCCATGCATTACACAGAACACTAAGTTTAAATAAATAGATGCTAAGTCAATGGAAAGTACAATGAAAAAGAATAAAAGCTAACCACTTCTCAATACGGTAGTACCAAAAGAAAAAAAAAACTTAAGTGCACCAGCCCACATAATAAATAAGAACACGTTGCTCTTACCAAATCACGATGGAAATTTACTGCAAGAGATTTATGTTAGTGTGGCTGCTGCTGTATGACAGGAGTACATACCCTCACAAAAACAACACTACAATGAGATGATGGCTACCTCATCCTCATAAAGCATCCTCCTCCACCATAAACTCTTACTCATGAAAGAGATAAGCAATATTATTTAGTTTATTATTTTACCTTTAATAAACCAAACCTAAGCCACCTAAAACAAATCTAATTATCTATTTTGATTTTAAAAATCCCTCCTACCCCTGCCCCCAAATCTTTTTTTTTCCGTAACCTTCCCTGAAAAAAAACTAGTTACAGAAATCCAAAGGCTGAAATGTATAAATTCAAGTGTACCTTAATAGAAGAATAAAACAAGAGATTAAGCATTCTTGAATGAAAGTGATTAAAACTTGATTTAGACTCATTTTATTTAAAAACATATCAAAAACATTAAAACTGCCTTAGGGTTTATTCTTTGTGGCTAAATGACTAAATCTCTAAAGCCAGTCTTGAAATTAGTTCTCTAAAAGTCAGATGCGCTAAAGAAATGAGTAAGGCTTTTTTTTTTTTTTTTTTGAGACAAAGTCTTGCTTTGTTGTCCAGGCTAGAGTGCAGTGGCACAGTCTCAGCTCACTGCAAACTCCACCTCCCAGGTTCAAGCGATTCTTGTGCCTCAGCCTCCCTAGTAGCTAGGATTACAAATGCCTGCCACCACACCCAGCTAATTTTTCTGTTTTAGTAGAGACAGGGTTTCACCACGTTGGCTCGGCTGGTCTCAAACTCCTGACCTCAGGTGATTCACCCACCTCAGCCTCCCAAAGTGCAGGGATTACAGGCATGAGCCACCATGCCTGGCCAAGTAAGGCCTTCTTACACTAGACAATACAAATTCTGAACTACTCATTATACCATATTTCATCAATTCTAAGATACCATTAATTGGAGGATGAATCATTATTTTATATACCACTATGAAAAAAAAAAGCTGCCAATTAAATATGAGATATGCCTGACCCAATATCATGCACCCAACATCAGTGATAATAAAATGTAAAGAAAAAAAGCATCTTAGAATCAGTGAAATACCCTCAAATTCCTATATACATCTGTCTTTTTGCAATGCAGATATGATTTATAGTCTTCTGTAATCCAAACCTTTGAAATGCAAAAAAATTAAAATCTCTTACCTTCCGTACTACACTCAGGAAAGGTATCAATGAGGGAATCTGAGTGAGCTTCAGCAGGACCAATTAATTCAGAACTATCATTAATTATTCCACCCTAAAGAGATAAGAGCAATTGTGTTTCATTAGCATTAAGAGCATAAACAACACTAAATAAAAAATAGTTATCCCAATTAAGTATGTGTAAAGATGTACAGAAACGACTATACTAATCTATTAAACTAGATGACAAGTGTTTTCAAAAAAAAACAATAGGTATATCTCATCGACTGTAACAAACGTACTACACCAACCCAAGATATTTAATGGCAGAAACTGGGGGCTGGGGAGGAAGAAGAGATATATGAGAAAACTCTGTACTTTCTGCACAATTTTTCTATAAACCTAAACTGCCCTAGAAATAGACTATTATTTTAAAATTCAAAAAATGTTAAGAGCAGCCAGAGAGAAAGGTCAGGTTACCCTCAAAAGGAAGCCCATCAGACTAACAGCAGATCTCTCTGCAGAAACTCTACAAGCCAGAAGAGAGTGGGGGCCAATATTCGACATTCTTAAAGAAAAGAATTTTCAACCCAGAATTTCATATCCAGCCAAACTAAGCTTCATAAGTGAAGGAGAAATAAAATACTTTACAGACAAGCAAATGCTGAGAGATTTTGTCACTACCAGGCCTGCCCTAAAAGAGCTCCTGAAGGAAGCGCTAAACATGGAAAGGAACAACTGGTACCAGCCACTGCAAAATCATGCCAAAATGTAAAGACCATCGAGACTAGGAAGAAACTGCATCGACTAACGAGCAAAATAACCAGCTAACATCATAATGACAGGATCAAATTCACACATAACAATATTAACTTTAAATGTAAATGGACTAAATGCTCCAATTAAAAGACACAGACTGGCAAATTGGATAAAGAGTCAAGACCCATCAGTGTGCTGTATTCAGGAAACCCATCTCACGTGCAGAGACACACATAGCTCAAAATAAAAGGATGGAGGAAGATCTACCAAGCAAATGGAAAACAAAAAAAGGCAGGGGTTGCAATCCTAGTCTCTGATAAAACAGACTTTAAACCAACAAAGACCAAAAGAGACAAAGAAGGCCATTACATAATGGTAAAGGGATCAATTCAACAAGAAGAGCTAACTATCCTAAATATATATGCACCCAATACAGGAGCACCCAGATTCATAAAGTAAGTCCTGAGTGACCTACAAAGAGACTTAGACTACCACACATTAATAATGGGAGACTTTAACACCCCACTGTCAACATTAGACAGATCAACGAGACAGAAAGTCAACAAGGATACCCAGGAATTGAACTCAGCTCTGCACCAAGCGGACCTAATAGATATCTACAGAACTCTCCACCCCAAATCAACAGAATATACATTTTTTTCAGCACCACACCACACCTATTACAAAATTGACCACATACTTGGAAGTAAAGCTCTCCTCAGCAAATGTAAAAGAACAGAAATTATAACAAAATATCTCTCAGACCACAGTGCAATCAAACTAGAACTCAGGATTAAGAAACTCACTCAAAACCACTCAACTACATGGAAACTGAACAACCTGCTCCTGAATGACTACTGCGTACATAACAAAATGAAGGCAGAAATAAAGATGCCTTTGAAACCAACAAGAACAAAGACACAACATACCAGAATCTCTGGGACACATTCAAAGCAGTGTGTAGAGGGAAATTTATAGCACTAAATGCCCACAAGAGAAAGCAGGAAAGATCCAAAATTGACACCCTAACATCACAATTAAAAGAACTAGAAAAGCAAGAGCAAACACATTCAAAAGCTAGTAGAAGGCAAGAAATAACTAAAATCAGAGCAGAACTGAAGGAAATAGAGATACAAAAAACCCTTCAAAAAATTAATGAATCCAGGAGCTGGTTTTTTGAAAGGATCAACAAAACTGATAGACAGCTAGCAAGACTAATAAAGAAAAAAAGAGAGAAGAATCAAATAGACGCAATAAAAAATGATAAAGGGGATATCACCACCGATCCCACAGAAATACAAACTACCATCAGAGAATACTACAGACACCTCTATGCAAATAAACTAGAAAATCTAGAAGAAATGGATAAATTCCTCGACACATACACTCTCCCAAGACTAAACCAGGAAGAAGTTGAATCTCTGAATAGACCAATAACAGGATCTGAAATTGTGGCAATAATCAATAGCTTACCAACCAAAAAGAGTCCAGGACCAGATGGATTCACAGCCGAATTCTACCAGAGGTACAAAGATGAGCTGGTACTATTCCTTCTGAAACTATTCCAATCAATAGAAAAAGAGGGAATCCTCCCTAACTCATTTTATGATGCCAGCATCATCCTGATACCAAAGCTGGGCAGAGACACAACAAAAAAAGAGAATTTTAGACCAATATCCTTGATGAACATTGATGCAAAAATCCTCAATAAAATACTGGCAAACCAAATCCAGCAGCACATCAAAAAGCTTATCCACCATGATCAAGTGGGCTTCATCCCTGAGATGCAAGGCTGGTTCAATATATGCAAATCAATAAATGTAATCCAGCATATAAACAGAACCAAACACAAAAACCACATGATTATCTCAATAGATGCAGAAAAGGCCTTTGACAAAATTCAACAACCCTTCGTGCTAAAAACTCTCAATTAGGTATTGATGGGACGTATTTCAAAATAATAAAAGCTATCTATGACAAACCCACAGCCAATATCATACTGAATGGGCAAAAACTGGAAGCATTCCCTTTGAAAACTGGCACAAGACAGGGATGCCCTCTCTCACCACTCCTATTCAACATAGTGTTGGAAGTTCTGGCCAGGGCAATTAGGCAGAAGAAGGAAATAAAGGGTATTCAATGAGGAAAAGAGGAAGTCAAATTGTCCCTGTTTGCAGATGACATGATTGTATATCTAGAAAACCCCACTGTCTCAGCCCAAAATCTCCTTAAGCTGATAAGCAACTTCAGCAAAGTCTCAGGATACAAAATCAATGTGCAAAAATCACAAGCATTCTTATACACCAACAACAGACAGAGAGCCAAATCATGAGTGAACTCCCATTCACAATTGCTTCAAAGAGAATAAAATACCTAGGAATCCAACTTACAAGGGATGTGAAGGACCTCTTCAAGGAGAACTACAAGCCACTGCTCAAGGAAATAAAAGAGGATACAAACAAATGGAAGAATATTCCATGCTCATGGGTAGGAAGAATCCATATCGTGAAAATGGCCATACTGCCCAAGGTAATTTACAGATTCAATGCCATCCCCACCAAGCTACCAATGACTTTCTTCACAGAATTGGAAAAAACTACTTTAAAGTTCATATGGAACCAAAAAAGAGCCCACATCGCCAAGTCAATCCTAAGCCAAAAGAACAAAGCTGGAGGCATCACCCTACCTGACTTCAAACTATACTACAAGGCTACAGTAACCAAAACAGCATGGTACTGGTACCAAAATAGAGATATAGATCAATGGAACAGAACAGAGCCCTCAGAAATAACGCCGCATATCTACAACTATCTGATCTTTGACAAACCTGAGAAAAACAAGCAACGGGGAAAGGATTCCCTATTTAATAAATGGTGCTGGGAAAACTGGCTAGCCATATGTAGAAAGCTGAAACTGGATCCCTTCCTTACACCTCATACAGAAATCAATTCAAGATGGATTAAAGACTTAAACGTTAGACCTAAAACCATCAAAACCCTAGAAGAAAACCTAGGCATTACCATTCAGGACATAGGCATGGGCAAGGACTTCATGTCTAAAACACCAAAAGCAATGTCAACAAAAGCCAAAATTGACAAATGGGATCTAATTAAACTAAAGAGCTTCTGCACAGCAAAAGAAACTACCATCAGAGTGAACAGGCAACCTACAACATGGGAGAAAATTTTCGCAACCTACTCATCTGACAAAGGGCTAATATCCAGAATCTACAATGAACTCAAACAAATTTACAAGAAAAAAACAACCCCATCAAAAAGTGGGCGAAGGACAAGAACAGACACTTCTCAAAAGAAGACATTTATGCAGCCAAAAAACACATGAAAAAATGCTCACCATCACTGGCCATCAGAGAAATGCAAATCAAAACCACAATGAGATATCATCTCACACCAGTTAGAATGGCAATCATTAAAAAGTCAGGAAACAACAGGTGCTGGAGAGGATGTGGAGAAATAGGAACACTTTTACACTGTTGGTGGGACTGTAAACTAGTTCAACCATTGTGGAAGTCAGTGTGGCAATTCCTCAGGGATCTAGAACTAGAAATACCATTTGACCCAGCCTTCCCATTACTGGGTATATACCCAAAGGACTATAAATCATGCTGCTACAAAGACACATGCACACATATGTTTATTGCGGCATTATTCACAATAGCAAAGACTTGGAACCAACCCAAATGTCCAACAATGATAGACTGTTAAGAAAATGTGGCACATATACACCATGGAATACTATGCAGCCATAAAAAAGGATGAGTTCATGTCCTTTGTAGGGACACGGATGAAACTGGAAATCATCATTCTCAGTAAACTATAGCAAGAACAAAAAACCAAACACCGCATATTCTCACTCACAGGTGGGAATTGAACAATGAGAACACATGGACACAGGAAGGGGAACATCACACTCTGGGGACTGTTGTGGGGTGGGGGGAGAGGGGAGGGATAGCATTGGGAGATATACCTAATGCTAGATGACGAGTTAATGGGTGCAGCACACCAGCATGGCACATGTATACATATGTAACTACCCTGCACATTGTGCACATGTACCCTAAAACTTAAAGTATAATAATAATAAATAAATAAATAAAAATAAAAAAAAAGTTTGAGAACCACTTGTATACAATATAGGTAAAACAAAAAAAATTAAGGTACTTTTAGTAGAGATATTTTTTAAAGATATAAAAAATAAATATAAAATTGATTTCTCTATGTGGCTATCATTTTAATTCCCTATTTAGGTTTGCAAATTCACGCCTCAGAAAGTTAATCTTACTCTACATGCAGCTAGAGAATGATATCACCAGACAAGTAGTGGTGGTATGATGCTGTGCTATAGCTTTATGTATGCTCCAATCACAATAGAAGAGCTTATAATCCTTAAATAATTAAAACAATAGCTCTTCTGCTCCTTAATACCTTCCCCTCTACCTTCTACCAACAGTTCTATGCCTCCAAACACTACTAACAGAATAATAAAGCTCAAAAGAATTACAAGCCCCCATTTCCTCTCTACTTCAGCACAAAAAAAACTCAATTACTATCTTTACCTAATCAGAAGTCCCTTCTCTGTCAGCTTGTTTTTAAGGAACAGAAATTTGAAATGGTCCCTCTCAAATTACCACATTTTACTTCCCTTAGTGTTATGTGAACTAAAACCTTAAAAATGATTATTCTCTTTAGGAGCGACAATTTGTATTACTTTATTCTACACTTTATTACAATATTCAGATTACAGCTTATATTTGAACTTTTCTCCAAAAAGAATATCTATTCTAGACTAAGCCATCTTTTAAACAATATCCAAACCAAATCAAGATTTCCAAGTATTCTAGAGAATGTCAAAAGATAAAGTTAATGTTAAAACAAAGTATCTTTCAACTATTAACTACCTCTTCTACCACTAGGTGTGCGATTTAAGTTACCGACCTATAAAATGTCTTCTAACTAAGACATTATTTTATTTTACATATTTCATGCAAAATAAAAAATACACACAGAGTATTTAGAACAATGTAGGCACTCAATAAATGTTTATTATTAGTTGACATAAGATCTTCTTGTAAGATAAAATTTAAAATGCAAAATGTTTTAGCTCATAATCCTAAATATTTTATTTACCTAGTTTAACAAACACTGTTATAAAAAATAAATAGGAAAGAACAAATATTTAATGAAACACAACAAAAACTGTTATACAGGAACTAGAGGGATGTAGCAGTAAAATAATGCCACAATCCTAATTTTAAACTTCTAATTCAAAAATAACCTTTTAGGTGTTTCTGAGTATGCAGTAAAAAAATTTCATAGAAATTTTGGGATATATAGTATCTCAAAGTTTTTCTGTTAATGAAGAGTCTAGCAGGGAAGGACTTCTGGTATAGTTAAGTGAGGAGATCCAGCAAATGCTTTCCCCAAAAGGCAATTATAAATCTGGAGAAATCTGTCAAAACCACCATTGAGGGCTCTGGAAATTGACTAAAAGCATAAAGCAAATGAAAGAGTGGTTACCGAGAAACCACAGAACCACAGGTAAGAACTATGGACGTCTGTGATGTTCTTGCCTCAGTTCCTCCCAACCCCCATCCCAGCTGAGTGGTCACAGTAATTATATAAGGGCAAGGCAAGTCTTGAAAACCAGCAGGTTCACTTTTGAGGAGGCTAATGTGATTTGGATTGAAGCACAGAAAAAAAAAAAAATCCACCCCAAATATTGTCAATAATAGTAGCAATCTCAGGGCCAAATATATGGCAAGGAAAAGTGATGGCTCAGCACACCTGAAGTTGCAGTCAGGAAAAGACCAGACAGCAGGGAGATCCAGAAAATAACACAGCCACAGGGGGTCTTCATAAAGCTCACTACCCATCTGTGTAGAGACCAGAGAGGGGTCAAGCTATCCACGAATACCTGGCAAACCATGAGACAGTGCACAGGCACAGAGGAAATTCAAGACTTCAGAGGAAAGTAAAAGCCAGGGCAAATTTTAAAACAGCTGAGACTTTGAAAACACATTAAAAAATCATCAGCATTAAAAGGAAAGCATATAATGGCACAGGTGTTTAAGCACAAGCAATGACCGAGCACTGGCTGACCACAAAGCTATGCTGACACAGGTCTAACCCCTATATAGCCTGGCTTAAAAATAAAATTAGAATTAAATATTGGGCAGAGATATCAGCAGTCACACACTTCACAGGAAATGGACTCCACAGATTTACTATGGACTAAACACACTAACAAAAAGTATTAGTTACTAAACACACTAACATAAAATGGCAAGAATCCTCAGGAAGAAAAAAAACATCAGAACTTAGAGTTCTATCGTATATTATCCAAAATATAGATTTTCCAACAAAAAAAAATTACAGGACATACAAAGACACAGGAAAGTATGTGACCCAAACATGGGAGGTAACCAGTCAATCGAAACTATCTGTGAGGGAACAAAGATGTTGGACTTGGCAAAAACTTCAAAGCAGCTATTAAAAATATGTTCATATTATCAAGGGAAAACATGATTAAAGAATTAAAAGGACTATGACTCATAAAATAGCAAATATAAATAAATCAAAATTATAAAAAAGGATCAAATGAAGCATTTTTCATAACAGCCATAAGCAAAAACAATCTGAATGTCTATCAACTAATGAATGGATAAGCAAAATGTGGTATATTCATATCCATTCAATGAACTATTATTTAGCCATAATAAGGAATGAACTACTGATACATGCTACAACCTGGATGAACCTTAAAAACATAAATATATGTACATACATACACACCCTCTAAATCTCCAATAAAAAAAAAAAAACTTCCCACCTAAATTCCACTCCTAGGTATACCTACGAGAAACAAAAATACCTGTCTGCACAAGAACTTGTATGTCAATATTCATAACAGCACCATTCATAATAGCCAAAAGGGGAACAACCCAAATATGCACCAACACACACTGTAGATAAACAAAATGTAGTATATCCATAGCCACACAAAAGAATATTACATAATCACAAAAATGGATAAAGTACTGATGCATGCTACAACATGAATGAACCATTAAAGCATAATACTACATGGAAAAAAAAACAGTTTAATTCAAAACAGCATCATAAGATTAAAATGCTTACAAATAAATTTAAGGCAAGAAGCTCCAGACTTATACCCTGAAAATTATGAAACATTGCTTAAAGAAATTACAGAATATCGGGCCGGGCACGGTTGCTCATGCCTGTAATCCCAGCACTTTGGGAGGCCGAGGCAGGTGGATCATGAGGTCAGGAGATTGAGACCATCCTGGCTAACATGGTGAAACCCCGTCTCTACTAAAAATACAAAAAAATTAGCCAGGCGTGCTGGCGGGCGCCTGTCATCCCAGCTAACCAGGAGGCTGAAGCAGGAGAATGGCATGAACCCGGGAGGTGGAGCTTGCAGTGAGCCAAGATGGCACCACTGCACTCCAGCCTGGGCAACAGAGCGAGACCCCGTCTCAAAAAGAAATTACAGAATATCCAAATAAATATAGAGTCATTTCATTTTCATGGATTGCAAGATAATATTGTTAAAATGACAATTTTCCCCAAACTGAACTACAGATTCAATACAATTCTAATCAGAATTCTGAGGAGCAAGCCAAAATAACTCAGTTGGGAGAGCATCAAACTGAAGGATTTTAGCAGGTGTTTCCAATACCTTCAGCCAGGTGTGGTGACTCACACCTGTATTCCCAGCACTTTGGGAGGCTGAGGCAAGAGAATTACTTAAGGCTAGGAGTTCAAGACCAGCCTGGGCAACACAGTGAGAACCTGTCTCTACAAAAAAATTTAAAAATAAGCTGGGTGTGGTGGTTCCTGTCCCAGTTACTTGGGAGGCTGAGGTGGGAGGATCCCTTGAGCCCAAGAGTTTGAGGTTAAAGTGAGCTATTATTGTGCCATTGCATCCCAGCCTCGGTGAAAAAAGTGAGACCCCAATTCTTTAAAAAAAAAAAAAAAAGAAGTAAAATAATAAAATAATTTTAAAATTCTATGAGAATTTTTTGTTCACATGGATAAGCTGCCACTAAAAATTTTTATGGAAGTTCAAAGAACTCAAAATTGCCATAACAATTTTGAAAAAGTAAAGTAGGCAAACTTACACTAGCTGACTTCAATACTTAAAAAGCTACAGTAATCAAGACAGTATGGTTCTAGGATAAGACAGGCACGTAGATTAATAGAACTATCAACAGTCCAGAAATAAGCCATTATAATTACAGTCAATTTACTTTCAGCAAGAGTCCCAAGGTGATTCAATGAGGATAGTCTTTTCAACAAATGATGCTCAGAATATTAGATATACACACACCAGAAGATGAATTTAGACCGTTCCTTCACACCGTATATAAAATGAACTAAAAATGAATCACAGACCTGTAACATTAAAACTTCTAAAAGTAAACAGAAGAAAATCTTCATGATCTTGGGATACTCGAAAAGTTCCTGGGTATGACAGGCATAACCCAAAAAAGAAAAAATATATATAAATTATACATCATATCAAAGCTAAAAGCTTTTGAGCTTCAAATGACACCACTAAGAAAACTAAAAGGCTACAGACTGGGGAGAAAATATTTACAAATCACTTATCTGATAAGACTGTTTATACAGAATATATTCAGAACTCTTACAACTCAATGATAACCCAATCAAAAAAATGGGTAGATTTTAATGGACATTTCACCAAAGATATATGAAAAAAGCAGAGGAAAACATGCTCAACATCATTAGCCATTAGGAAACTGAAATTAATACTATGGTGAAATGCCACTGCACACCTGCTAGAATGGCTACAGTTAAAAAATCAGACAATACCAAGTGTTGGTGAGGTTGTGGAACAACTGGTAAGTTCAAACATTACTGGCTATTTTCCGTTTGGAAAACAGTTTGGCAGTTTCTTAAAAACACGAATTTACCATAAGATCCAGCAATTCCTCTCCTCAGGAATCACCCAAGAAAAATGAAAACATATATCCACACAAAGATTTGTAGGCAAATATTCACAGCAGCATTAGTCATAACAGCCAAAACGTAGAAACATCCAAACATGTCCATCAATTTATCAATGAATGAAGAAAATGTGGTATTATCTATACAATGAAATGCATTTCAGCAACATAAAAGAACAAAATGCTGATACATAACATGAATGAAGCTCAAAAGCATTATGCTAAGTGAAAGAAACCTATATACTTATGTTGTGAACAAAACGCTACATATATTGTGTAATTCCATGTATTTGAAATTATGGGGAAAGGCAAATCTATAGACAGAACAAGGTGGTTGCCCCAGGCTGGGGATGGAAAAGGGGATCACCATAGCAAGTAGACACAGAGGTGCGGTAATGGAAATGATCTAAAATTGGATGTTGGCCAGGCACAGTAGCTCACACCTGTAATCCCAGCACTTTGGGAGGCTGAAGCAGGCGGATCACTTGAGGTCAGGAGTTCAAAACCAGCCTGGCCAACATTGTGAAACCCTGTCTCTACTAAAAATACAAAAATTTGCCAGGTGTGGTGGCACACACCTGTAATCCCAACTACTCAGGAGGCCGAGGCAGGAGAATAGCTTGAACCCGGGAGGCAAGAGGTTGCGGTTAGCCGAGATTGTGCCACTGCACTCTAGCCTGGGCAACAGAGTGAGATTCTGTCTCAGAAAAAAAAAAGAATAAAATAAAATACAATTGGATGTTGGTGATAGGTGCAAAACTCTATAAATTTACTGAAAATCGGTGAATTGTACAATTATAATTAGTAACTGTACTAATACTAATAAATAAACAACCAGTGAAGAGTATGGGATGGAAAGGTATAGATAAAACAAGTTTGGCAATATACTGATAATTTCTGAAACCAGGCCATGGGTCATAGAAGTTCATTATACTATTCATTCTACTCTTATGTATGTGGTTTTTTAAAGTCAATGTAAGCAAGTGGCTATATGGTCATTTGCATGTGGCATCATCAATGTCTCTAAAGAGAAAAATAAACTATGATACTATAGCACACCCTGTGAATTAGCTACCCCAAAACCTTCCCCACAGCCTTCATCCATGATCAGAACTAGAAAGCTAAGAGTCACCTTCCGAGACTCCTTCAAATTAAGGATGGGCATGTGACCCTGTTCTGGCCAATGAGATGTAAGAAGGACTATCTCTAGATCATGTTTCTGGGAAAGCTTTTAAAAACTGCCATGTTTCTTTTGGCCTTTTCCCTTTCACACCTAAACCCAGAAACCTATGTCACTGATGACATTACTGAGCTCCATACCAGTCCTGGACTACCTTCCTCATTCATACTTCTTGTCATATGAAAAATAAATACCTTTTTTTTTGTTCAAGCTAATGGAATGAGTTTTTTTTTCTTGCTTGATTATCTCTATTTAAATAGAGATAATGACTGAATACCACTGCTCTGATATTCCCAAATCAGTATCCTGTTCCCGCCTAGCACGCTGTTAAAGATAGTTCTAAGATACTTTCCAAGATTAGTTTGACTTCTCTTAAACTGTCCAATCTTTCACAAACTCTGAAAATGACAGTCTCATTTCCCAGTGACTTCCAGCAACAATTACAATCAGGAATTCCCATATCCAGAAGAAATACAATGAACAGCTAACTTTTACTTAAATTGTTTAAAGTATTTAATAGGACTTCCATAATCCCTAATTTTTTTTAGCCATATGGCAGGTGGTAATTTGCATGACAGCTTTTCACAATTTCTATAAAGCAATATTCTTGTTTAATAATAAAGCCTTTTTCCATAAAAAACAGACTCCCTGACACATAGAAACAATTATTAACAAAGAACAGCAAAGAGCTAAATACTCTATCAATTTGATTTGGCCTTTATCCTAAAGATCTGCATAGGGCCATATGCAGAAATCACATTTATTATCTCAGCCTAGTTTGCAGAATGGTGAAAAATTAAGCAACACGGTCAATCATCAGAAATGTTATTGTTACTATAAACACTTCTATTACTATCATTATTTCTATTACTGTAAATTTGCAATATCTTTCAAAAGAACTTTCTTCAGTAGATAAAACATCATAAAAAATAAATTCCTAGGTGATGAAGCACTGGCAGAAAAAAATAAATAAATAAATAATCTGTGTAGATCCACTAAAATCAGAAAAATTAAATATCTCACTATTCATACATATCACTGGTTATATAGGCTAAGAAATTTAACTTATACAAGTGAATAGATTTTAAAGAAGTAAAAACAATTACAGCACAATCACTTAGATTTCTTTTTTTTTAGAAGGTTAACTCAATGCAACAGGGAAAATGTAGTAATTAAATACAACAATACCAACTGACAACATATACCGATACAGTTCAAAATAAGTTAGAAAATTATTATTAAAAATGGTAAAAAAAAAAAAAAAAACTTAAAATGAAAGCATTACATATCTAGGAACTTAAAACACTAATATCCAATGATCTCCAGTAATATAATTTGCACTGGCCTGCTCTCTAAAACTGTGCAGTTTTATATTTTTGTTGTATCTTTATACAAGTCAACATAATAACAAATTTAATATAGACTTACAGTGGCTTATATTCCAAGAGTAATCTGCCACTGAAAGACACTTCAAAAAGTGAAGGTAAGTACTAGAGTTTTATGATGCTTCATTTTTTTTAATGTATTTCAATTATGACAGAGTGAGTTAAACAATCTCTAAGCTCTTTGCATCAATTTTTTAAGATCCATGAATCAAAAACACTCAGGAGTCTGAGGCAACAGGAGGCTTGAGCCCAGGAACTCAAGACTATAGTACGCCATGATCACACCTGTCAATGGCCACTGAACAACAGTCTAAGCAACAGAGCAGAACCAGTTCCTTTAAAAAAAAAAAAAAAGCATAAATTTCTATACTAAAAATAGGAAATATGCCATAAACATTATTATAGAGCTATTAATTTCTACTTTTATAGTGAATAACGAAATTCAAAAGTGGCATTTTTTATTTTACTTTACTACAAATTACAAAAGTATTTAATAAGATATAAAATATTCCAGAAAGACTACCAAACCTTGAAAAAGTCTTCAAGCTGTTTACTATTGTAAAGAGCAGGAATATTGGCAGAGAACTGTAGCAGGTCTTCAGCACATTGTCTTCTCTCTTCGATAACAGTTTCATCAAATCGCCCTACAATTAAATAAGAATCAACACTTAAGGGAAGAATGATCAAACACTGGTTTATGATAGTTTACGTCCACAGATCAGAAAGCAGCAGCAGGCCTATCACTTAGTTGCTTTGCTTATTATGCAAACTTCTGAAGTCAAATCTAATCTCTACAATTAGAATCAGCAGTACTCTCAGTAGAAAAGAAAATGTTTCTGATAAAACAAGAGACAAAGGTGTCAACCGATAAATAAATGGTACATTCATAATTTAGAGCCTGTCAATTTAAGAAAGTTGACATTTAAGAAGCTGGTGATTCGAAACTAAAGATGAAAAGAGAATTTTAAAGAAGTGAAATGGTTTTCTATAGTAATCTAATACTGTAATTACTCATATAATTTTCCCTTTTCTACTCTTTTTGATTTATAAAGGGGCTGAAGAGAGGAAATTATGAGAACATCTGTATTATTAGTGGGGTCAAAAATCTCAGCTTGAAGCAAAAAGCTTTTATGCTAAATTCAACGTGTGATGCTGTCAGCATACATAACAGCATGCTTGTGAGAAAAAAGAACACACATATGGCACCAGTGAGTTCTGCTTTACAAGGTGATCAAAAGGTGCTTTCCATAGAATTTTTAAATGATACATAAAATTTGAATGCTGATAAGACATTTTCAAAATATGATCATTTTGTAGTACTTAGATTAGATTACCAGTTGACATTTATCATATGCCATATATCATACTGATTGCAATAAAAAAATACAAAATCAGAAAAGTAGCATCACCACATAAACATTTTAAGTGCCTTTGCAGAGTATTAACAGAAAACTGAGGCACAAAGAGATTCCTAGTTATATAGGCAAGGCAAGTGCCTATATGACTGGCAAGTGAAACTGAACCACTAAAATACCCTCTGCCCAGTGTGTCTCATGCTTATGGTGAAGTGTCTATTTCACGATAACTAAAAGGACCTGAATTCAAATACTACCTCTATCATTCACTAGCTATAAAATCTTAGGCAGATTATTTCCTCATTTTTAAAATGTAGGAAATGGATAATGTACTTAAGGTTCCCAGTTTCATGCGAGGCACATAGTAAGCACTTAATAGAATATCATGGTTCTTTGAATCTTCAAGTTCTATCATACTGACTAAAATACAGAGCATGCTAGCAAGCTTTTATTGACTGTGTGAGTGAATAACAAAAACTTTTAAAAGCCATGTCAAAATAAATAAATAAATGTCTTACAATGAAACATTATCACAGATAATCTTTTTTTTTTTTTTTGAGACAGGGTCTCACTCTGTCACCCAGAGTGATCAAAACCTCACTGCAGCCTCAACCTCCCAGGCTCAAGCAATCCTCCCACTTCAGCCTCCCAAGAAGCTGGGACTACAGGCACACGCCACCACAGCCAGCTAATTATTTTGTAGAGAGAGGGTCGCACTACGCTGCCCAGGCTAATGTCGAATTCCTGGATGCAAGTGATCCTCCCATCTAGGCCTCCCAAAGTGCTGGGATTGTATTGCAGGCATGAGCCACCATACCCAGCCTATAACAGGAAATCTTAACAGTGGATCCATACACAACCTCTTAGGCAATGGTTCATGGATGGGCTCCAGAGACAATAATCCCACAGAATTCCATGCATATATATACACAGGTGCATTTTTCTAAGGATAGGGTCTATAACTTTTATCAGTATCTTGATAGAGCCTAGGACCAAATAAAGGTCAGCAGGCAAGTAGCAGTCAATTAGAGGATTCCTAACATTCTGTATACTGCTTTACTTACTATGGAATAGGCTGTCCACTGCTATCCAAATATTTGTTCTTGCTTTCTTCCTCAATTTTTATTCAAATGGGTACATGACAGCCCAGGAAAAAAAAAATTGTAATTGCCAGCTTGCTTTGCAGTTAGGCATAGATATAAACTAAGTTCTGGCAAATAGCATATAAACAAATTATACTGTAGCTTCCCAGAAATCTTTTTAAAAGACAAATGACATACAACCTCTCTCCCTTTCTTCTTTGTCCCTTCCCCCTTTCAAGAAGAACCAAGAAGTGGAAGGTTAAAAATGACACAAACAGGGTACAGTGGCGCAAACCTATAATCCCAGCTTCTCAGGAGGCTGAGGCCAGAAGGATCACTTGAGCCTAGGAGTTCAACTCAGCCTGGGCAACATAGCGAGACTACATCTCATTAAAAAATGACACAGCAACAAGACAGGAGCTTGGATTCCAGATCACTGGGCAGCTGCCACGCTTGAGGCTACCTCCAAATCTTTTGCCATGAGGAAGAAATGGACTTCTATCTTGAGTTTTCTCACAAATAACCAAACCCAACATAATCCATTATGCCACATTTGTTTTTCTTAGTTCTCAGTTCAAATGCTCTCAGTTCAAATGCAACAATTAAACTCAACCCTCCCAATAACAATACCAAATCTAAAATGACACTACTCGCTTACCTATCACTAATATTATCTAGAAACAAATCTGCAAGAACCCCAATAGGTAAAACCAATTCTCTGGCTTGAAAACAATCTAAATGATTTAATCTTAGGAAAAAATCTACTGGCCAACTAGATTAAATGCTCATTATTCCTTATTTTGCCTAAATAAGAAAGTATGAATCAGTGCTTATGATTATAGTCCAATATAGTTATCGCTTAAAGAAAAAAGTAAATTCAAGTGCCTATAAATTAATATTAGTAATTGTGTAAACATCTAAAAGCTTAGAAAAATAACCTAGAAAATGCACACATTATTTTATACTTTGACCCACTAGACTACCTGAGAATATCTTTAAATGCATTAACTACTTGTTGAGAAATCTTAATGGAAGTCTTCTTAATATTTAATAGTACCCTAAAAAGATCTTATTTCTATCTGAAACAAATACAAAAAAAAATTGGAGGCTTTAATCTTCTCCATTAAGCTAAAGTAAAACACTTAAGCAATGGAATAAATGTCAAAAGCATTTCTTGTACTGCTATTGATTTATTGTTTCTATTCCACTAAACTTTGACAAGCAGATATGAATTGAGACTTTTTTTCAGAGTAGTGCACAACCAAAAATAAAGGGTTATGCATTAAATAAGCTTCAATTACATTGAATCCTATTATCAGAACAAATACGATAAAGGAACATGCTCATTTCTTTGTTCCTAAAATACTTCAGAATAACAACAGAAGAATGGCATTAAGTGGGCAAAGGACATGAACAGACAGACTCTTCTCAAAAGAAGACATACAAGCAGCCAACAAACATGAAAATATGCTCAACATCACTGATCATTAGAAAAATGCAAATCGAAACCATAATGAGACACCACCTCATGCCAGTCAGAATGGCTGTTACTAAAAAGTCAAAAAATAACAGATGCTGGCGAGGTTGCACAGAATAGGGAATGCTTATAAACTGTTGGTGGGAGTGTAAATTAGTTCAGCCCCTGTGGAAGGCATGTTTGAGATTTCTCAAAGAACTAAAATTACCATTTGATCCAGCCATCCTATTACTGGGTATATACCCAAAGGAAAACGAATCATTCTACCAAAAAGACACCTACACTCTCATGTTTATCGTAGTGCTATTCACGATAGTAAAGACATGGAATCAACCTAGGTGCCCATCAACAGTGGACTGGATAAAGAAAATGTGGTACATATACACCATGGAATACTACACAGCCATAAAAAAGAATGAAATAATGTCCTTTGCAGCAACATGGATGCAGGTGGAGGCCATTATCCTAAGTGAATTAACACAGGAACAGAAAACCAAATACCACATGTTCTCACTTTTAAGTGGGAGCTAAACACTGGGTACACATGGACACAGAGATGGGCACAACAGACATTGAGAACTCCAAAAGCGGGGATGGAAAGAAGGAGATAACTGTTAAGAAACTATCTATTGGGTACTATATTCATTATTTGGGTGGTAAGTTCATTTGAAGCCCAGATCTCAACACCACACAATATAACCAGGTAACAAATCTGCACATGTACCTGCTGAATCTAAAATAAACTAATGTTTTCCCATTTCCTGATAATAATAAAATTTTTAAGAGACCATTAACACATGAATAGACGAACAACTGACTGGGAGAAAACATTTGCAAAACATCAAACGACTGGTGTCTAAGATATACAAAGAACTCCAGCCCCACAAAATAGACAAAAGATGTAAACAGATACTTCAAAAAAAAAGGATATATGAGTGGCTAATAAGCATGTGAAAAAATCTTTAGCCTATTAGCCGTCAGGAACTGAAAGTTAAAACCACAATAAGATACCATTACACATGCCCCAGAATGGCTAAAATTAAAAAAGGCTGATAATGCCCAATGTTGGTAAGAGTGTGAAGCAGCCAGAAATTTCATACATTGTTGATGGGAATATCAAATATACAAGCACTTTTGGAAAGTCTCTTAGTTCCTTATAAAATAAAACATACACCTATCTTATGATCCAGAAATTATATTCCTAGGTATTTACCCAAGAGAAACATATGTCCATATAAAGATGTTTATTGTAGATTTACTTAAAATTGCCCCAAACTGGAAACATTCCAGGTGCCCATTGATAGAACAGTGGATAAACAGACTGTGGTACATTTAAACTAAACAGCAATAACAAGGAATGAACCTCTGATGAACACAACAGTATGGATGAATCCCAAAAACATGCTGCAGGAGGGAAGCCAGACATGAAAAGTTTGTACAGCGTGATTCCATTTAAAATCCAGGATGTACAAAACTAATATATAGTAGAAAAAGTTCCTTCTGGGTAGCTTAAGGGCAGGGATTGACAGGGAAGGGGCAAGAAGCAAACTTTTAGGTGTTGGTAATGCCCTATATCTTGATAGGGGTTTGGGTTATACAGGTATATGTTTGTCACACATACAATGGGATACTTAAGATTTGTGCATTTAACTGTGTGTAAACTTATCTAAACAAAATGTAAACAAATACTGAACTCTTATTAATGACAATATGTTAAAATATGTATGGGTGAAAGACACTGGTATCTGCACTTTATGCTGAAATGCATAAAAACAAGACAGATTATGGAAAGATATATGATAAGGAAAATATAGCAAAATGTCACTGTCCACATCTTTCAACTTGTCTATATGCTTGAAAATTTTCACAATAAAATGTTGCGTAAAGTCTACTACAAAGAAAAAAATAGTACTCGTAGCATAAATGAAAAAACACAGATGAATTTTAATGAAATAACTTCTAGAACTAATATATTTAATAAAGACAACCTAATTTGAAAATTTTCAAAAAAGTAGCAGCAAGATTCAACAGTCATCCTAATGGCAGACAATAACCTTGCAACCATTCTCTACTTGTGTATCCTTCAACATAATCAAAATTTCACTTGAAAGGCTGTAACAACATGAGAAATCATAATCAGGTGCTTCTCCTACTACAGCTTTGAATTTCCCTTTGTAGTACCAATGTTTATTTTCCTGTGAACAGAGTAGAAAAATTATAGACATAGAAACATAGAAAATGCAAAACAAATTTTTCCCGAGGTTTACAGTGCAATATTATATACCTCATCTTATTGAATTTCAATTTACTGCTCTTCACAGATACTGCATTTTTTTACAAATTGAAGATTTGTGGCAACATTTTTCCAACAGCATGTGCTCACTTTATGTCTCTGTGTCACATTTTGGTAAATGTCACAATCAAACTTTTTCATTATTATTATATCTGTTGTAGTGATCTATGATCAGTAATCTTTGGTACTGGCATTTGCAATACAATAACATTGTTTTGAGGCACCACAAACCACAAGAATATAAAACGCAAACTTAGTTAATAGGTGTTGAGTGTGTTCTGACTGCTCCACCAACCAGCTGTACCCAATCTCCCTTTCCTCAGGCCTCTGTATTCCCTGAGACACAACAATATTGAAAGTACACCAATTAACCTCTACAATGGCCTCTAAGTGTTCAAGTGAAAGGAAGAGTTACAGGTGTCTCACTTTAAATCAAAAGCTGGAAATAAGGCAGGGTGCAGTGGCTTACACCTATAATCCCAATACTCTCAGAGGCTGAGGCGGGCTGATCAGTTGAGCCCAGGAGTTTGAGACCAGCCTAAGTAACATGGTGAAACCCCGTCTCTACAAAAAAAAAAAAAAAAAAATTAGCCGGGCATGGTGGCACATGCCTGTAGTATGCCTGTAGTCCCCTGTAGTCCCAGATATTCAGGAGGCTGAGGAGGGAGGACTGCTTGAGTCCCAAAGTTCAAGACTGCAGTGAGCCATGATCGCATCACTACACTCCAGCCTTGGAAACAGAGCAAGACTCGGTAAGGAAGGCATAACACAAACCAAGAAATGTTGAAAGTTAGGCCTCTTGCACCAGTTAGCCAAGTCGTGAATACAAAAAATAAGTTACTGAAAGAAATTAAAAGTGTTACTCCAGTGAACACATGAATGATAAGAAAGTGAAGCAGCGTTATTGCTGATATGGAGAAAGTAAACCAGCCCCAACATTCCCTTAAACCAAAGCATACTCCAGAGCAAGGCCCTAACTCTCTAATTCTATGAAGGCTGAGAGAGGTGAAGAAGCTGCAAAAGAAAAGTTGGAAGCTAGCAGAGGTTGGTACATGAGGTTTAAGGAATGAAGCCATCACCGTAACATAAAAGTGCAAGGTGAAGCAGCAAGGGCTGATCTGTAGAGGCTGCTTCAAGTTATACAGAAGATCTAGCGAAAATCATTGATAAAGATGGCTACACTAAAGAACAGATTTTTAATGGAGATAAAACAGCCTTCTTTTGGAAGAAAATGCTATCCAACACTTTCATACCTAGACAGGAGAAGTCATGCTTGGTTTCCACACTTCGAAGCACAGGCTGACTCTTCTGTTAGAAGCTAATGCAGCTGGTGACTTTAAGTTGAAGCCAATGCTTACTGACCATTCTGAAAATCCTAGGGCCTTTAAGAATTAGGCTAAATCTACTCTGCCTGTGTTCCATCAACAGAAAAAGCCTCGATGACAGTGCATCTGTTAATAGCATGGTCTACTGAATATTTTAAGACCACTGTTGAGATCTATTGCACAGAAAAAAAGATTCCTTTCAAAAAAATTTTTTTTGAGACAGTCTCACTCTGTCCCAGGCTGGAGTGCAGTGGCGCGATCTCAGCTCACTGCAGCCTCCGCCTACCAGGTTCAAGTGATTCTCCTGTCTCAGCCTCCTGATTAGCCGGGATTACAGGTACACACTACCATGCCTGGCTAACTTTTGTATTTCTAGTAGAGACGGGGTTTCACCATGTTGGCCAGGCTGGTCTTGAACTCCTGACCTCGTGATCCACCCGCCTTGGCCTCCCAAAGTGCTGGAATTACAGGTATGAGCCACTGTGCCCTGCCCTTTCAAAATATTATTGCTCACTGACAATGAATCTGGTTCACTCGAAGCTCTGGTGGAGATGTACAAGGAGATTAATTATGTTTTCATGCCAGCTAACACAACATCAATTCTACAGTCCATGGGATCAAGGAGTAATTTTGTACTTTCAATCCTCCTTATTTACCTATATATTTCTGTGTGTATATAATATATATAAGCCACTTCCTCACCCCCAATTACCCAACAATGGTTTATTATTTATTATTTATTTAAGAAATACATTTCATAGGCTATAGATGACATACAAGTGATTCCTCTCAGAAACCTAAGCAAAATAAGTTGAAAACCTTCTGGAAAGGATTCACCACCCTAGATGCCATTGACAACATTTGGGGGAAGGTAAAACTATCAACTTTTTTTTTTTTCTTTGATACAGTGTCTCGTGCTGTCACCCAGGCTGGAGTACAGTAGCGCAATCTCAAATCACTGCAACCTCCGCCTCCCGGGTTCAAGCAATTCTCCTGCCTCAGCCTCCCGAGTAGCTGGAATTATAGGCGTATACCACCATGTCCGGCTAATTTTTCACCATGTTTGCCAGGCTGGTCTCGAACTCCTGACCTCAAGTGATCCACCCACCCTGCCCTCCCAAAGTGTTGGGACTATAGGCATGAGCCACCATGCCCAGCCAACATTAATAAGATTTTAGAAGCTGATTGTAACCCTCATGGATGACTTTGAGGGGTTCAAGACTTCAGTGGAGGAAGTAACTGCAGATGTGGTAGAAATAGCAAGAGAATGAAAACTGGAAGAGGAGCCTGAAGACGTGACTGAATTGCTGCAATCTCATGATAAAAGTTAAATGAACAAAGAGTTGCTTCTTATGGACGAGCAGAGAAAGTCGTTTCTTGAGAAGGAGTCTACTCCTGGTGAAGATGCTGTGAACACTGTTGAAATGACAACAAAGGATTCTGAATGTCACATACACTTAGTTGATAAAGCAGTCACAGGATCTGAGAGGACTGACTCCAATTCTGAAAGAAGTTCTACTGTAGGTAAAATGCTATCAAACACCATCACATGTTACAGAGAAATCTTTTGTGAAAGGAAGAGTCAATGGATACAGCAAATCTCATCGTTGTCTTATTTTAAGAAATTGCCACAACTACCCCAACTTTCAGCAACCACCACCCTGATCAGTTGGCAGCCATCAACATGGAGACAAGACGCACCATGAGCAAAAAGACTACCACATACTGAAGGCTCAGATGAAAATTAGCATTTTTAGCAATATAGTATTTCTTAATTAAGGTACGTACTTTTTTAAGACATAGTGCTACTGCACACTCAATAGACTACAGTACAGTATAAACACAACTTTTATATGTACTAGGAAACCAAAATATTCTGTGTGACTCACTTTATTGCAATGGTCTGAAACCAAATCTGCAATATCTCTGAGGTATACCTATATATTTCTGTGTGTGTATAATATATATAAGACACTCTCCCACTCCCAATCACCCAACAATGGTTATTAAAAGCTGTGGAGGGGAGGGAATTAAATCCAAACATTCTAACTAAGCTCATTACTCACTAAAAATAAAGCCTCTCTGTTTGATTTATAAGCTGTCTTTGGTATCTTCCCTATGTTGTTTTTATTATTTAGAAGAACTCCTAAATAGCAGAGTTTACAACTTTTTTAAAATGCATGTTAGTCATCAAAAGCTAGTTCATGGAACTAAAACTTATCCTTGACCAGTATGAAATTATCTAGAAAAGCTTAATGCTGATGATTCTTAACTATATCAAAAGTTCATTCACAGAGTAAAAAGAAAGAGAGAGGTCAAGATTCTCTGGATTAAATTCTCTCTAGCCAAACAGCACCAGGAACACACCTGTAGTTAAACAAGCTGAATTTATTACTTCTTACAACTAAGGAGAATACATACCATTGGGAACACTGGGGCATTTCACCAAGAGGGTATCAGAAAGGACTTACAGGGCTTTGGCTTGTGTTAGGGAAGGGTTCAAGGAAGTGGGGTTCTGCCCTGGATTGGATGCTGTCAGGAAGTGGAGGTAATTCTATGATTCTCTCAATTCTAATTCTATGATTCTATGATTTTTTAATGTATCTTACTATGAAGCAGGAAAAATAAAGCAAGGCTAAGGTTATGATTTATAAAGAAGCAGTAGTCATTCATTGTAACCAGAATGAGGATATTTGATCATTTTTGTGACTTGAACAATGTTTATGTTTTTGTCTGTGTTCAGACATGACTACAGGATGGTCTTGTTTTTGTCGTCATCCAAGGACATGGAGTGATCTTGTCTTAATGTTCAATGTTCTATGGAATTGTTTTTGTTCAATACGAGAACACCACAGCCTAATTGTGAATTCCAGGCCAACTCTAAGAAACACCAAGGTCAAACCAATATAGTGCCTGGCCAGTTCTTAGCTATTGGGAGCTGCCTGTCTCTCTCTCACAGGAAGTCATACTCTGATGACAGATAGAAGAAAACAAACAACAAACAATGATCTATTCATGAGAAAACAATCAGACAGATATAGCTTGTGAAACTGGCAAAACTACTGTTCTACGTTCTTTAAAAATGTCAGTGTTATGAAAAATCAAAAAGAAAAAAAATAAGAACTATTCTAGATTAAAGAAACCAAGAGAGGCATGATTATGAATCAAAAAAAAAAAGCTAAAAAGGACATTTCAAGGACAACTACAGAAATCTGAAGATGGACTGCCTATTTTATAATATTGCATCAATGTTAAATTTCATAGGTGCAATATGGTATTATGATCATAGCAGAAACATGGGGAGTAGGGATGAAATATCATGATGTCTGCATTTTATTCTCAAATGGTTCAGGAAAAAATGAGAAACACATACATAGAGACAGAAATGCAGAAGATGTGGCAAAATATTAACAATCCATGAATTTGGAAAAAAACGTATATATATGTGTTCACTATACTATTCTCTTGGTGGGGGGGGGGAGCATAAATTTGAAATTTTGTCAATTTAAAAAAAATGGGGAAAAATACATGAGTTAAGTGCTATACTGATGAGATGAATAACCAGGAAGGGTAAACAGTTAACTCAGCTGAAAAGAAGCATGGCAAACTTCCTAGAAGAGATATCTTCTGAAAGGCTAACCAGAAACTTCACAGCGGAGCAACACAAAACTAAAGAAGAAGACACAAGAGAGTAAGGTATGTTAGAGGAATGGTAAACTCACTGAGTAACAGATAATAGCTAACACTAGCTGACATGCATCTAGCATGGAGCTAAATATTATACAGATATAATTGTTAGAACAGTAAGGTATTATCCTTACCTTACCAATAAGAAAACTAGACTCAGATATTAATTTGTATAAGATCACACTGGCAGTAAATAGTTAACAGAAGATACGGGTCTAAATCTATCTGACTGCAAAAAATAAGTACTTCTCACCATACCATTAGAACAATAACTACATCAGCTCGATCATATGCAAAATTACAAGAGGACTCCTTTGCTGCTGAAGTTTACTTACTAATGTAAGAGGACCTATAAAAAGGTAGATGATTGGCTGGGTGCAGTGGCTCACACTTGTAATCCCAGGACTTTGGGAGGCTGAGGCGGGAGGATCACCTGAGGTCAGGAGTTTGAAACCAGCCTGGCCAACATGGTGAAACCCCATCTCTACTAAACTACAAAAATTAGCCGGGCATGGTGGCAGACACCTATAATCCTAGCTACTCAGGAGGCTGAGGCAGGAGAATCTCTTGAACCCGGGAGGTGGAGGTTTCAGTGAGCCGAGATGGCGCCACTGCACTCCAGCCTGGGTGACAGAGCGAGACTCCGCCTCATTAAAAAAAAAAAAAAAAAGTAGATTATTAACCAACAATTCCTTCCACACAACCACAGCTGCTGCCTACAAGGTTCATTACAGTTATCAAACATTACAAATGAACGGTACCATTTATTAAAAGAGATAAATTGCTTACTTATTAAGATTAATATGAAACTTTCATTCTATAATATGGAAGGATGTGGAGAAAAGTTTAAGATAATCCATTAGCAGCTGATAATAACAGCTAAGAACTTCAACCAATTTAAAAGCCACTCTTTCACCCAGTGACAAGTTTCTTTTTTAAGAAGCCAGCTATGTATCCTCTAACATTAAAGATAAATGTGTTAAATTCCACAGTACAGAAAGTGCAATGCAACAAGTAAAAATATCCCTCCTACCACTCCCTCAGAGGTTACATACACTATACAAATGTGTATAGGTATGATTCATATATGTTTATTTACACATACACAGGATCTTACTAAACATCATTATACGCGTTTGTTTTGTTTAGCTTAAAAACATATCTTGGATATTGTTCCATACAAGTGTATTTCTTTTTTTTTTTTTTTGAGATGGAGTCTTGCTCTGTCACCCAGGCTGGAGTGCAGTGGCACGATCTGGGCTCACTGCAAGCTCCGCCTCCCTGGTTCAAGCAATTCCCCTGCCTCAGCCCCCTGAGTAGCTGGGACTTCAGGTGCCCGCCACCATGCCCGGCCTAATTTTTCGTATTTTTAGTAGAGACGGGGTTTCACCATGTTAGCCAGGATTGTCTCGATCTCCTGACCTTGCGATCCGCCCGCCTCGGCCTCCCAAAGTGCTGGGATTACAGACATGAGCCACCGGGCCCGGCCCATACAAGTGTATTTCAAACAGCCCCAAAATCCTATTACTTGGCTAAATTATGGCACATCCATACAATCACAGATAGAGAAACATTCAATTTTCAGTTTTCTTCTACTGAATATAATGCTGCAATGAACACCCTGTGTATATGTATATATGTGTGTACGTGTGTTCTCTATGAGCCATCCACAGACTGCAGATGATCCCTGCAGGGCCTTTCAGGCAATCAGCAAGGTCAAACCATTTTAATAATACTACTACAAAAGCAGTTGCATTTTTTTACTGCACTAACATTTGCACTGATGATCTAAAAGCAATGGTAATAAAACTGCTGACCTCTTAGCATGAAATCAAGGCAACAGCACCAAACTATACTTACTCGGAATATAATGATTACGAGTATAATATGCCACTCACTCATATTTAAAAAAAAAAAAAGAAATGTAATGCCAGTTTCATTTAGAATGTCCTTGATAAAGCAGTAAAAATTATTAACTTTATTAAATCTCAACCCTTGAGAACAATAATTTTTTAAATTCTGTGAAATGAAACAAACTATAACTATTCAGATTTGGATATTTGACAGACATTTTCTCAAACATAAACAACTGGGCCTAACAATTCAAGGAAAATAACCAACAGTATTGTTATCAGTGATAAAATTCAAGCTGTCAAACCACTGTAAGCTTGACAGCTTCCCAATACTTTAAAATTTTTTCCTTAGAAATCTGTGATGATATTAATGATTTTTAACACTGTATAATAAAATGGGTAAGTGTTTACAAAATCTGCATAATTCAGGAAACCAATATTTTTCAAATGACCAATACATGGTGTTACAAACTCATGCCCAGGTAAAAGATATATTCAAATCTAAGACAGACCAACGGATTGTAATGTAACAAAGTACAAAAGGTTCATTTACAGGGTTCTGATTCCACAATGCAACTAGCCTTTATGAAATTACCACACATCAAGTTTTGGTGTATCAAAGAATACCTTTAATTATCTGAAAAAGGTATTAAAACACTCCTCCCAGGCCGGGCGCGGTGGCTCACCCCTGTAATCCCAGCACTTTGGGAGGCTGAGGCAGGCAGATCACGAGGTCAGGAGATCGAGATCATCCTGGCTAACATGGTGAAACTCCGTCTCTACTAAAAATACAAAAAAAAATTAGCTGGGCGTGGTGGCTGGCACCTGTAGTCCCAGCTACTCGGGAGGCTGAGGCAGGAGAATGGCATGAATCCAGGAGGCAGAGCTTGCAGTAAGCCGAGATCACGCCACTACACTCCAGCCTGGACAACAGAGCGAGACTCCGTCTCAAAAAAAAAAACACTCCTCCCTTTTTCAACTGCATTATCTTTGTGACCCTGAATTTTACTCATGTACTTCAACCAAAATAACATATCTCAACAGGCTGAATACAGAAACAGCTATAAGAATCCAGCTATCTCCTCTTAAGCCAGACATTAGAGATTTGTAAAAACATAAACCAACACCACTCTTCTTGCTATTTCTTTTTTGCTTTGGAAGAATCATTTTTCATAAAAACATCCTTTTATGTTAACATGTAGTGTATTTTTTATTTTTATTTAATACAATTTCTAAAATTTCTAGTATGGTAAATATTAATAGCTAAAACCTACATAAACAACAGTCCTTTGAAGTCTTCAATAATTTTTAAGAATATAAAGAAGAATCTAAGACCAAAACATCTAATAGTCATTCATATATATCTCCCATGTAGACATGAGAATAGATGTGTAGAAAAATTAATTAAAAACAGAATAGAAAAGGTTTATTTCAAATTGCCCTCCAAAGAAACTGTATGAATTTATACTCTTCCTGTTGTATATCTATTGCTCCATACTAGGTATAATCAAACATTTTAATTTTGGCTTTGGGATTGACTTTTGATGACATCATCACCTATAACTACTCTACCTTTTAAATCTTAACTCATACTTTTATTTTGCTCAACTTATTTATATGTCAGGCACAGTCCTACATGCTGAAGATACATTCATAACACCAAAGCAGTCTCTGGATCATGCAGCTTAGGGTCTTGTCAAGGAATCAAAGAGAAAGAGAGAAAATTATAATTAAAGGGCAAGGCAGGGTTCTTACTTTTAGAACACAAGAAAAAATACTGGCTGTAGGTTTAGAAGCATGATTCTTAAAACTCCTCAGACTGATGACTTCTTAAAATTATCTTCATCTTCATATTTAGAGTGCCACAAGTCTTAAAAACTTGATGGTGAGAATACCACATCCTGAAACAGTTCTCTTTCTCAACTCTGGATCCTAATGCTCACTTCTTCAACCATAAGACTCTAAGTTTCTTAGAGGGGCTGTTTGCATCATGATATCCTCAGTGCCAATTTTTAGAAAGCTTCTTGAATTAAATATGCCCATAAAATTTCTAGATAATTGATAGCTGGACTGAAATTAGTCAAAGAAGATTATTAATAGCTACATGATCCAGAGACTGTTTCAGTCTTATGAATGTATCTTCAGCACGTAGGACCGCGCCTGACATATAAATACTTGAAAAATAAGTTGAGCAAAATAAAAGCATGAGGTAATAGATTTTTGGCATGTAAACATGCTTGCCAGGCACTTTAACAGCAAAATGGGGCCGGGCGCGGTGGCTCACGCCTGTAATCCCAGCACTTTGGGAGGCTGAGGCAGGTGGATCACCTGAGGTCAGGAGTTCGAGACCAGCCTGGCCAACATGGTGAAACCCCGTCTCTGCTAAAAATACAAAAATTAGCCAGGTGTGGTGGCACATGCCTGTATTCCCAGCTACTCGGGAGGCTGAGACAGGAGAACCGCTTGAACCTGGGAGGCGGAGGTTGCAGTGAGCCAAGATTGCACCACTGCACTCCAGCCTGGGTGACAAGGGCAAAACTCCATCTTAAAAAAAAAAAAACAAACAGCAAAATGGTGGTCAAAAGAGGTAGTAGTTGCAATGGGAAAGGGCACACACATACATCTTTAAATGGGAAAGGTATCAAGAAAAAAAGTAAGGAACCATTGATATTGAATAGTAACTGTAAAGAGAAAACAACAGAAATGTGAAGCACCATGGAATATAAGGTCAAAGGCCAAAAGCAGGCAGTCACATGCTAACAGCCTACAACGGTAAGAGTTCATGAACTCCCAAATGCTTGGTAGGGGAACAGAATGGATTGAAGACCCATCATCAGAACTAATGGTTCTATTGCTATTGACCTGTTGCCCACATCCCTCAATTGCTTTCACATAAGAAAATAAAAATGTTTTTCTTTTTATTATGTGCCCAAGTTACCTCTATTACATATATCTCAAGATATTAAAAAATCATAAATTGTTACTATTAAATATTTGTTAAAATTAAAGAATAGTAGCAATAAGCTTTTGATGATCACTTCATTCTGGCACAAATGCCACTGATGTTGCTATACTATGTGAGATTCTCTGTATCTTGTCCCCAAATCTCAAGTAGGCGTGAAATGTAAAACGTACTGAGGAAGCAAGTGTCAAGTTCAGTGAATACTGTAATCCTATAATCAGCCTGGAGAAACCCCTGTTCCATGTAGACTACCAGCCAATGGAAACAGGTCATTCAGAATTACTTCAGATCATTCAGAACTCTTCCTAAATCAGAGTATCAATATAGGGTTCAATCAAGAGACAGAAGCCACACAGTAATTTGAACAGGGAAAAGTTTAATATAAAAAAAATTAGCCATGAGGCCAGGCGCAGTGGCTCATGCCTGTAATACCAGCACAGCACTTTGGGAGGCTGAGGCGGACAGATCACTTTGTGCTCAGGAGTTCGAGACCAGCCTGAGCAACATGGCGAAACCCCATCTCTATTAAAAATACAAAAATTAGTTGGGCATGGTAGCCTGTAATCCCAGCTATTCAAGAGGCTGAAGCCGGAGAATCGCTTGAACCCGGAGGTAGAGGCTGCAGTGAGCCATGATCACACCACTGCACTCCAGCCTGGGCAACAGAGCAAGACTCCATCTCAAAAAAAAAAAATTATTAGCCATGAGAGTGGAGTAACAATAAAGGTAAAAAGAGAACTCTGAAGAATATCCTAGGGTGAGGGAGAATACCCAAAGAAGGAACAACTTAGAAAGGGGAACTCTTCTCCAAGGCTGGGATTCGGATCTCTGTAGAGAAGGTGTGGTTGGGTTGCAGCCATTGGATGGAAAAAAAGTTTGCTAGGTTCCCTGGGCCATCGTTGAACCACAGTTGCCAGAAGAACAGGAAAGACTCCTCCAGAATTCAAGCATGCCAAGGCTGACAGGTGAGCACACAGTCATGGTATGAGGAACCAACTCACCAGCAAGGTAATGCAAGTCCTGGGGTACCTACCATCTGCAGTGGGAAGACCATAGGAAACAACTTTCTGGGGTTAAAGCAGACCAAGGCTAGCAGACAGGCCTGTAGAAGGAGAGGGGGTTATTAGGAGCGTACTCTCCAGGAGGGCAACCAGGTCTAGAGTCCAAAATGTGTTGGCAGGGAGGGGGAACAAGGGACACAGGAAACAACTCTGCAGGGTGCTAGCAGGCCAAAGCTGAGGGGCAGATACACAGACAAATTCCGGGTACACAGAAGGAGCCAGAGAGTTAGAAACTCAGTCTCCAATAGGACTGCGGCACCTTGGTGTCCTTAGCTAGGTGATCACCAAACTGGCTGAGCCTGCAAGCTTATCAAGAGATTGTGTGGCCAAGGCAGAATGGCTCTGGCAACAATGCAAAAAGAGCAAGAAAAAACAAAATCCATAGGATACTGGAAGAAGGAAGACAAGCCCCCTATACTCCTGAAATGGAGTGCCCTCCGTTGCTAAGCTTAACAGTGTATTCACCATAAAGAAAAAATACTGAAAGAATCCTACCCATTAACCAAGGAGGAAATGAAGAAAGAGATTTGAAGCTAAGAAGCAATAAAGGGATAACTGGCACAGCCTCTTAGAACCAATAATTATCACTGTAAGAGCCCCAGGAACTCCAGGCTGATCTTGAAAGGCAATAATTTCCCCAATGTTGATAAGAAATATAGCTGGTATTAGCTATCAGAACATACTCTGTAAAGCCGCTGCATAAAAATCAATGTGATATAGACATAGGTATTTATATAAGAATAGACAAATAAATGCCACAAAAGAGAAAATCCTTAATTAGTGAAAACTCACATGAAGTCTATACATAACAAAGATAATAATTCAACTTCATTGAGAAAAAGGTGGGTTATCTAACAAGTGATCTTATAAGTCCATTTCATCTGTAAAAAAAAAGGTAAAGTGAAACATCATCTGACATCCTGTTCAAATATAAATTCCTCAAGAATTATTTTTTAAACTTTTTTTTTAACTAGTACTATAATAATCATCTTGTAAAACAGGTAGGCATTAGGAGACATTTCTAGTCAAGACCAGAAACCCAAAACCAGGAGGTGGGAGGAGAGTACAAAGAGAACTAAATATATAATTGAACATATAAAATTTTGTTTCACTAAAGGTATTATAAACAATTCTAAAATATATGTATATCTATATAATACACGTGCACATATACATATATATATGCAGGTTTGCAAATGATTAGAGGTATGTATAAATGTGTGCATTATACCTATGCATATAGATAAATGTATTACATTTCCTATCTCTGGCTGTTGAAAAAAGCTTAGATGTAAGTTGCAAGAAGCATACCTACTGTCCAGATAGTGATCTCTGTAGCAGCCAGGGTCTGGACAGAAAATGAAATCCATACAGCAATTTAAATAGGGAGTCTTATAAAGAATTATTAACTATTTACCCAGAATTAACTACTAAGAAGAAATAAAAGACAACTCTTAGGAATGCCTAGATTGAGGAGGAAAACCAAAGGAAATACCTGAAAGAGGTGCCTCCTTGCCAAGGCTGGAATTCAGATCTCATTGGAGGCAATGTGGCTGTAACCCACTGGTTGTCCCTGACATAGCTGTTCTAATATGATAGTAGGAGGGTCAAACTTCATGGGCAAGGAACTACAGGCTGAGACTGGCAAGCAGGAAGCTCTGTTGTGGTGCCAGCAGATCCAGGCTGAAAGGCAAGGAGCCGCAGGCAGTAACTGACAACAAAATTTCCTAGGGGATGAGTACCACTAGGCATCCCACACATGCCACTGGCAGCACAGAGCAAATAGGAACGGAAGCACACCAAAACCCTACTTCCTACAGTGTCCTTCCAACACCTTCTACTGACTAAGCTCATCCATACCAGCTGGAAAAGGAGATCTGACAAAGCAATGAAGGATGGATGTGGAGCTAAAATACAATAAACTGAGAAGCAGCATAGTCTTTAACACCATTATCCACAAAAAGCAACTAGGGTTCCTTGAAGAAATGGTAGATTTCAGGGCAGGAGCAGAATAAATTCAAGATGAGCACTGAACATCTTGTTATGCCTAAAAATAACAAGTGCTGAAATTAAAAAAAAAAGAAAATAGGATGAGAGGAAGTTACAAGGACACAGAATCCAGCTTAAAAGGGCTCCTACTGATCAAAGCTGGGACAATTTGTGAATCAAAATAATTAAATGTATTAATGCATTCTAAACTACTAGAAAAAAAAGATATGTGAGTCCAGATCAATTAGGGATAGATGGACAGATTCATGGATACAATATATAGATATACAGACACAGATACACAGCTCTATAGATACACAGAGAAACGTAGATGCATAAACAAAGAGACACAGATAAAGGGAGAAGGAAGGGTAACAGCAAAGGTGGAGAGGTACAGGAATTGGAAAATCATTATTTTGTAACTATTATATAAACATTGAGTCAGGCAAGAATCATCAATGGATGCTAAATCCAGGGGATAATTTTGTTTTCATGATCTTACAAATATCTACCCAAAGGTTACTTATTAGCTTCAAGAAAGAAAAAAAAATGAATATACATTGTGTAGTAGTCTGAAAACTGGTTCCCTAAAGCTAATCCCTGGAACCTGTAAATGTTACCTTATTTAGAGAGTCTTTGCAGATATGATGAAGGATCTTGAGATGGGGATATTATCCTGGATTATCTGGATGGGCACTAAATGCTTCACAAGTGTCCTTATAAGAGAGTCGAGGGCAATTTCACAAAGAGGGAAATATGAAGATGGAACAGAGGGAGGTTTGAAGTTGAGGACCCTGAAGACTAAAGTAATGCTGCCACAAGCCAAGGAACATAGGCAGCTACGAAAAGCTGAAAGAGGCAAGGAACAGTGTCTCTCCTCTGAAAAGAGAGCATCCCTGCCAACACCTTGATTTCAGCCCAGTGATACCAATTTCAGACTTTGGCCTTCATAACTGTGAGAAAATAAATTTCCATTGTTTTACGCCACCAAGTGTATGGTAATCTGTTATGGCAGCCCCAGGAAACTAACACAGTGGAAAAGCTTGACAATACCTTGACCAGGTGACACAAATTCATATCACTAATAAGGGGCAGACAGACATCATGTGCCTTCAGATGAGATACTCTGAGGACACCTATGCAGTATCCAGCCAGGAAGAATTCATAACCTAGAACTAAACATGAGAAAACATCAGAGAACCTAAAATGAGAATCGTTCTCTTTAAAAAGGGGGAAAGGGATATGGATAGAGAGGCAGAAGGTATTCTTCAAAAATGCCAATATAATGAAAACAAAAAACGGCTATATTAACATTCCAGTGACTAAATAAAATACCAATCCTAGAATGGATCCTATCCCAGAGAGAAGAAAAATGATATTAAAAGGTCAACTAACAAAAGTGGAATACAGATGGTAGATTATATCAAAGTATTGTATCAATATTAAATTTACTCAAATTGATAACTGAACTCCATTGATGTAATACAATATCCCTATTCTTAGTGAAGAACTGAAGTGCTTAGGAGTAAAGGGACATGAAATTTGGAATATAATTTGGAATAGCTCATTAAAAAATTATGGCCAGGTGTGGTGGCTCACACCTGTAATCCCAGCACTTAGGGAGGCTAAAGTGGGAGGATCACTTCAGTCTGGGAAGTCGAGGCTTCAGTGAGCCATGACTGTGACACTGCACTCCAGCCTGGACAACAAAGTGAGACCCTGTCTCAAAAAAGTTAGAAAAGAAAGAAAGAAAAGTTAAGAAATTAAAACTTAAAATAATGTAAAATTACGTGCATATATTTTATATGTGTGTGCTGGGGGAGAAAGGGGAAGAGGGAGAGAGAGAGGAGACAGAGGAAGAGAGGGAAAGGGAGAGAGGGAAGGAGAAAGAGTGAGAGAGACACCAGCAAATGATAAAGTAAATGGGATAAAAGCTTAACAATAAGTGAATCTGGTTGGAAAGTATAGAGGTGTTCTTGTACTATTCTTCTTCTTGCAACTTTCTGTAAGTTTGAAACATCCCTCATCTCCACAGGCTGCCTGAGTGTTCTCACCATAAAGCAACCAGTTTCCCCAAAACATGTAACGACACATGGAGGGGAGGTGGGAGCATGAGCACACAAGATGGAAGCTACAGTCTTTTTTATAACCTAATCCTGGAAGTGATATACCATCCCTTCTGCATATGCTAACAGTCATACAGACTAATCCTGGTTCAGTGTGGGAAGGGACTTCACAAGAACATAAACACCAGGAGACAGGGACCACTGGGGGCCATCTTGGAAGCTGGCCAACACAGACCTCTCTTTGGCCTCAAAGATTCACACCCCTCCCACATACAAGATCTCCTCACCCTCCTCCCAAGGTCCCCAAAAGTCTCATCCCATTATGGCAGCAATTCAAAGTCTAGAATCTCATCTAAGTCACATCCACGTGTGACTGAGGTTCTTCAGGTGTCGTTCCCTAAGTGTAGCTCCTTAAGTACAATCTTCCTAACCTGTGAAACTATAGACAAGTTACCTCCCCTCTACCCACTCAATACACAATAGTGGGATAGGCATGGAATAACTGCTATAGACATTCCTGTACAAAAAGGGGAGTAAATGCGAGCCCCAAAGAAGTCAATGGGTCCATAGTAATTCTGAAATCCAGCAGGGCAAATGTTGGAAGTTTCTGATTAAGGCTCACAGGCTGGGAATAAATTCTCCAAGGCTATGGCTCTGCCCTCTGAGCTACTGGTTCCACCCTCTGAGTCATACCTCCTTTTCGGTGAAAAACAGCAAGGTGTGTGGCTTCGTGGTTGTTTTTAGCCTTCCTTCCAGTAAAATTTGGGGGAGACAAAAGTCTCTTTTCACTTTGTACTGCTTTTCTGCTTGTCAGTCCAAGCTAACAATGTTTCTGCATATATAATTACTTATAACTTTTTTGTGGGGGGGTCACCTGTGACTCTTATTGGGGTTTACTCAATTAAACAAAAGTGATAGCCACAAATCTCAAGTTAAACCCTTCTGTAGCTTTGGCTTCTGCTGAGTTGGCAGAGGCTTACACTTCCACGAAGCCCTACTATTTGAGAGGATGTGTAAGGCACAACCTTAATCTTTATTGAGAGCATTTGGTCTGACTGAATCTTTCTAAGGTCTTAAAAAACATTTTATTTCACACTGGGCTTCATCTTTAGGCCATATTTGCTCAGAAGTCATTTCTTAATTTTAGTACTCTCTGCTATCCAGAAAGATAGCATTTTCAAAACAAGTCCTAGGACCTTTTTGTTTAACAATCCTTCCTTTAGTTTCTCTCTCTCCTTTCACATTTTACTATGAGCAGCAAGAAGCACCATACTGTAAACACTCTGGGTGGAAATCTCTTCAGCTAGCTTACCCAGTTCATTTGCAAAGTACATTTTCAACTTTCCACATAACTGTAGGCAACAGTGTTGCTAAACTTTCTGCAACTACATAAGAGGGATCTTCCCTCCAGTTTCCAGTAACACTTACCTAACTTCTTTGGGAAACCTCACTTGCAGTCTTACCGAATACCATGAGGCTCCAACTAATCACTACTTTTTTTTATTATTTATTTTTTTGGGATGGAGTCTCGCTCTGTCGCCCAGGCTAGAGTGCAGTGACACGATCTCAGCTCACTGCAAACTCTGCCTCCCAGGTTCATGCCATTCTCCTGCCTCAGCCGCCTGAGTAGTTGGGACTACAGGCACCTGCCACCACGCCTGGCTAATTTTTTTTTTCTTTTTTGTATTTTTAGTAGAGACGGGGTTTCAATGTGTTAGCCAGGATGGTTTCGATTTCCTGACCTCGTGATCTGCCCGACTACGCCTCCCAAAGTGCTGGGATTACAGGCATGAGCCACCGTGCCGGGCCCAATTAATCACTTCTTCAAGGCACTTCAGGCACTCACCAACACTCCTCAAAGCCCATAGCTCATTTCAAAACCACTCCACATTTTCAGTTTTGTTACAAAGTCTATTAAGTAGTTATTGCTGGGTAACAAATTATCCCAAAACATGGTAGCTTACAAGAAACATTTACTATCTCACTCAGTCTCTGAGGGTCAGGAATTCAAAAGTGGCTTGGCTGGGTGGCTCTAGCTCAGGCCCCTCATGAAATTGCTGTTAACTGTCATTCAACGCTGTAGTCATCTCAAAGTTCAACTGGGACTGGAGAATCTGCTCCTAAGTTCATTCACATGGCTGTGGCAGGCTTCATGCTTACTAGTTTTTGGCTGGATGCCCCTGTTCCTCACCATGTGGGCCTCTTCATAGGCTACCAGAATGTTCTTAACCATAGGAAAAGCTGGTATCCCTCAGGGCAAGTTATGAGAAAGAGAAAGGAAAAAAAAAAAAAAAACCTTAAGAGAGATGCCACAGTCTTTTATAAATAAATCTCAGGAATGAGATATACCATCACTTTTGTTATTGGTCACACAGACCAACCCTAGTACAATCTGGGAAGGTGCTATGGTTTGGATATGGTGTGTCTGACCCCATCAAGTCTCATGTTGAAATTTGATCCCCAACGTTCAAGGTGAGGCCTGGTGTGAGGTGTTTGGATCACGGGAATGGATGTCTCATGAGTGGCTTGCTGGTTCTCACTCTTAGTTCCCGTGAACTAAACCTGTTGGAAAAAGCCTGGCACCTCCTCCTCTCTCTCGTTTCCTTCTCTCGTCATGTGGTGGCCTCTCATTCCCCTTCTGCCATGAGTGGAAGCAATCTGAGGTCCTTCCTAGATGCAGATGGAGGCCCCATGCATCTTTTATCTCCTGTAAAACCATGAGCCAAATAAACCTCTTTTCTTTATAAGTTACCCAGCCCCGGGTATTCCTTTGTAGCAACACTACACAGACTAAGACAGAAGGGAAGACACAAAGGTGTGAATACCAGGAGAAAAGAATCATAGGAGGCTATCTTGGAGGCTGGCTATCACAAAAGGCATGGTCCAAATATTTAGCAAACTAAAATGTGGCATGATTTCAATTCCCTGATGTAGTATAAGGAAAACAGAGACTTCACTTACACATTTTTCTTATGTTGGCACAGTAATTGTAACAATTGAACCTTGCAGAACAAAATGTAATTGTGGTATACCACCTGGTGTTATAATGAACAATATTTGCTCTGTCATAATAACGTTAATAAGGCAGGGTGCGGTGGCTCACGCTTATAATCCCAGCACTTAGGAAGGCTGAGGCAGGAGGATTGCCTGAGCACAGGTGTTAAAGACCAGCCTGGGCAAAATGGTGAAAACATGTTGCTACAAAAATTACAAAAATTAGACTGGCATGGTGGCATGTGCCTATAGTCCCAGCTACTCGGGGGGCTGAGGTGGGAGGATCGCTTGAGCCCAGGAGATGGAGGCTGTGGGACTGCACCACTGCACTCCACCCAGGGTGACAGAGTGAGACTCTGTCTCAAAAAATAATAATTTTATAAATGATGTTTATTACATTCTAGCTTTGAGAATTATTCTATACATTACGAGCTTAATTATGACTATTAAAGAGAATATAAATATTACCACCTTTGACAAATGTTAAACTATAAGCACAGATTTCAAATGTTAAGTGGTGAAGAGAGCTGAAGAGGTAGGAGGAAGATCAAAAATGCTATTAGAATCATCTTAGACAAATGATATTGTCCACACTTACAGAACGAGAAATAAAGTCAACAGAAGAACTAAAAATATTATGTAATAATACAGAGAAACAGGGTAAACAAGCTAAATCCTTACCCACCAGAGTAGTGAGTCAATAGATACGTAAAAGTTGTTAAATCAAGAAAAAATGGGCCAGGCGCAGTGGCTCACGCCTGTAATCCCAGCACTTTGGGAGGCCAAGGAGGCCAGATCACCTGAGGTCAGGAGTTCAAGACCAGCCTGTCCAACATGGCGAAACTCTGTCTCTACTAAAAATACAAAAAATTAGCTAGGCGTGGTGGCAGGTGTCTGTAATTCCAGCTACTCTGGAGGCTGAGGCAGGAGAATCACTTGAACCCAGGAGGCAGAGGTTGCAGTGAGCCGAGATCACGCCACTGCACTCCAGTCTGGGTGACAAGAGTGAAATTTCATCTCAAAAAAAAAAAAAAAGAAAAAAAGAAAAAATGGTATAAGCTTATTACAGATACAGATATAAGTACTTGAAAAAAAAGGATTAAAATTCAGTTATGTCTAGAAGCAAAAGTAGGTGGAGGGAAGGAGCAGGAAACTTGTTTTTATCGTGCATTCTTCAATACTACCTTTGTGTTTTGTTTTTATTTTACTTAGCCACATGCCTCTTTAAAAGTTATCTGCCAGGCGCGGTGGATCACAACTGTAATCCCAGGACTTTGGGAGGCTGAGGTAGGCAGATCACTTAAGCCCAGGAGTTCAAGACCAGCCTGGGAAATGTGGTGAAACCCCATTTCTACAAAAAATAGAAAAATTAGCCAGGCATGGTGGTGTGCACCTATGGTCCCAGCTACCTGGGAAGCCAAGGAAGGAGAATCACCTGAGCCCAGGAAGTCAAGGCTACAGTGAGCAAGATCACACCACTGTACTCCAGCCTAGGTGACAGAGTGATACTCTGTCTCAAAAAATAATAATAATAATTTAAAAGTTATTCCAATGTATAAAGGAAAATGATGTTACAATTATTTAAAACAATGAGACAATATGCATCAAAAGTCTCAAAAATATGCAGACCCCTTGACTGAGTAATTCTTCTCCCAGGAATTCACCCTACTGTACACCTGCACAGTAATGTATGAACAAGAATAGTAACTGCAGTGTTATTTGTAACAGCAAAAGGCCAAAAGTAATATACCAGTAAAAGATTGGTTAATAAATCAGTTCAAAAACTGGAATACTATGTACATATTAAAATTAGTAATGTAGATCTTTTTATTGACATGAAAAGACAATCATAATATACTGTCATATAAAAAATAAAGAAAAAATATATATACTGTTATATAAAACCAGGTTACAAAATCATACATAGCAAGATTCCATTTTTGAGGTTTCTATACATAGATGGGTAAAAAGGCATATACATATTAATAAGCACAAAAATACACCATACACACACACTGATACAGAGTCTAGAATAATATGCCAAAATATTATACTATCTAGGAGATGGTATTATTGCTGAATTTCTCTTTACGTTTTAAGTATTTTTCTGTACCACCTGAGTTATTTGCATATACTACTTTCATAACCTGAAAAAAAATTGTCTAGTTTGAAAAATAAATGTGCATATACCTTGACTCTGCAATTACATATGCAGAAATTGGTTGCAAAAAGTAATAGGATAAAATGTTCTGGCCCGGGCACAGTGGCTCATGCCTGTAATCCCAGCACTTTGGGAGGTCAAGGCGGGCGGACCACTTGAGGTCAGTAGTTTGAGACCAGCCTGGCCAACATGGTGAAACCTCATCTCTACTAAAAATACAAAAATTAGCCAGGTGTGGTGGCAGACGCCTGTAATCCCAACTACTCAGGAGGCTGAGGCGGGAGAATCACTTGAACCCAGGAGGTGGAGGCTGCAGTAAGCCAAGATCGTGCCACTATACTCCAGCCTAGGTGACAGAATGAGACTCCATTTCAAAAAAATTCTGTCCATATAAGAACATTTACGTTAGAGTTATAGAAAAAAAACATGAATATTCTATACTTCCAGTCAAAATCCAGACAGGGGACAGAAACTACACCAATTATTTTGACACAGAAACTTTAATATAAAATACTGTTACCTAGGTATTTGAAAACTGATGAGGCAAAAAAAAAAAAAAAAGAATACTAAGGTATCAAAAAGAAGTTGCAAGAAGCAAATACTAGAAAACCACACCATTCATACTATAAGCAAAGTGTCAGGGAAACATACAAAATGAGACTTAATTTAAAAAAAGAAAGAATTTTAAAACTATAAGAATAACTGAATATCACCTTTTCTTATGTTCCTACAGGGTTTTTTATTTGGTTGGTTGGAACTGAAGTTGTTTTGTTTCATAGATAGGAAGAGTAAATATATTCTGGGTACACAAAACTATAACAAGAACAAGAAAAGACAATTTCAAGTGCTGTTGAACAATATGAATTATCTCAATAAGTAAAAGGGCTTCTGACTTCATAGTGTAGTTATGTTAGAGTTCAGTATATATACAAAATTAATTATTTTTTTAAATTACAATTTCAAAATAATCACTTACCAAACACTATTCCTTTAGCAAATGGAGGAAACAACTCTGAATGTCGGAATAAGTTTTTGTGAATTTGCCATAGTTCTTTGTGTAGTTTCTTAAAATCACTGTATCTCTTCCATACAATTATCTAGAGAGAAAAAAATTAAACATGTATCTCATAACCATTTAGGTTCAGATATCTGAACAACAAATAATCCTTTCATTAAAGTGTTCAAAATTGTCATGCAAAGGCAAACACATGTCCTAAACAATATGATTAACTGACTGAAATTAACTAATAATATTTGCTTTAAAAATATAAGGCAGATTCCTGCTGACCAGGAAAATAATATAAAATAAAATAAAGTAAAAATATATTACATATAAAGCGGCAATTCTTCCTCAAACTATTCTGTTTTGGTTTCAAATTTTCATTTTAAACAAGTATGGTTTTATTCATACTGGAAAAATATTCAACCCAGTATGGAGAAGATTTATACTATATAAAATGTCACTTCATCTCTTCAAAAACCAATTACAATTGGCCTGCAAATGAGTTAGATGTCAAAACATGTATCCTTTCTCAAAATAATGTATTTATAAAGACAAAATAATTAATTTAGGCAATTTTTAAACAAAAGTACATACTCGGTATTTGCCTAAAAGGATAAACTGGCCGGGCGCAGTGGTTCACGCCTATAATCCCAGCACTCTGGGAGGCCAAGGCAGGTGGATCACCTGAGCTCAGGAGTTCAAGACCAGCCTGGCCAACATGGTGAAACCCCATCTCTACTGAAAATATAAAAACTAGCAGGGTGTGGTGGTGGACGCCTGTAATCCCAGCTACTCGGGGGGCTGAGGCAGGAGAACTGCTTAAACCCAGGAGACAGAGGTTGCAGTGAGCCGACACAGTGCCACTGCACTCCAGCCTCAGCAACAGAGTAAGACTCTTGTCTCAAAAAAAAAAAAAAGGATAAACTGAGTAACACTGAAGAAGTAGCTATGCAGCAAGCAATTAACATGGACTTTCATGTCATAAATCTTAATTCACACTAGTAATAAGATGTCTGCAGGCAAGCTGAATCCTGACCAGAACATCATTAAAATTAGTATATTTTTAAAAAACAAAATATCATCTAGATTAGACGACATGTAAAAAAGTGTGTTTTCCTTCATTAGTCTGAATTATTATTTAACCTTACTCAGATTATATCTAAAAAAAAAAACCACTTTGTAAAGAAAAAGGATTTGAAACATGGCCTTGATATCACAGATTCAGCCCCTCAATCTCTAGAAAATAGAGTAAAATTGAGTTTTAAATCCCATTACTTCAGATACTGGGGTCTTCTGAAAAACTTAATCATCTCAGTTCTAACAAAGTTTTCTAACAAGTTTTTCATATACAATAGAGTATAATGCTAATGAGCAAATAACAGGTCAAGCAGGTAACCAGGTGTGATTTAAGAGATTCCTGCCAAAAAACCTACCCTCTGTATGTATAAAACTCTTCAGCAAACTTTTTCATGCTGCCAAAAATTCTACCTTAATTAATGTTTATTGTTTTTAATACAGTTATAATCCTAGGAGGCTAGGCAGACTATAATATGAATTAATTTTTAAAAACTGCTTCCTCCTGATGCTTCCCTTGTTCCTCCTGATGTTCCCTGTTCATTTACTCAACAACAAAAAGAGTCACCAAACAAATATTTCTATGGCCCTACTTTCCACTAAGCATCATATTCTTACAAAGTATGAAGAGAAGGGAAATACAGGTCCTGCCTTCAAAGAGTTCACAGTCTAGTTAGGAAGAATAAGCCAACACATCACAAGACAACATCATCATAAGACGGCTTGAAAAATGCTGAGAGGGGCAGTCCAAGAGTGCTGTAGATGTAGTACCTAAATCAGCCTTGTATGTCTGAGAAGGCTTCACAAAAAGTACTACCTTAGAGAGTCCTGAAGGGAAGTGGTCAGTAGACTGACAAAAATAAAATAAAAGGGGAGGGCACCGGGGGTGAAGTTTCTAAAAGAAGAGTGAGATGCTAAGTATGTATTACTAAATGAAGACAATTAATTTAGGCAATTTTTAAACAAAAGTACATACTCAGTATTTGCCTAAAATGATAAATAAACTGAAGAACACTGAAGAATAAATAGCTGTGTAGCAAGTTTTGCTACAGAATGGTGGTGCCATGCCCTGAAGTGAACACTAAGGAAGCAGCAGCAGTTCTGAGGCAAGAAAGAGGTTCAATTTTCAACACATTTGACTTAGGAGCTCGTGAGGGAGCTGCTTGGAGCTGTTCAGTGAGATAGGTTTAGGGTTGAAGAGCAAAAACTGAGCAGGATCTATTAGCTTGTAGATTAAAAGATCAGTAGCAGATAGGCAGTAATCACTCAGGAAAGGTTTCTCAGCATACGCAGTGAGATGTGAGGATTCTAACAATGAAATGATGGGAACAAAAAATTGTTATTTTTATATTTTAAAAATATATCAAATTACAATCATACGACATTGCCAAGGAATTAAAGGAGAAATGGTTGATGGGCTTATGTAAGCAGTACCTTATATAAGGTAAATGTCATTATAAACTGGACATTACGTAAGGTTAAGGTCATTATGACCTGGACATGAGTTATTCAAAAGACTGTAGCTCATGGAAACAATTAGATTTGCAGATAAAATTTTTATTCTAGGCCGGGCGTGGTGGCTCACGCCTGTAATCCCAGCACTTTGGGAGGCCAAGGCGGGCGGATCATGAGGTCAGGAGATTGAGACCATCCTGGCTAACACAATGAAACCCCATCTCTACAAAAAATACAAAAAATTAGCTGGACGTGGTGGTGGGTGCCTGAAGTCCCAGCACTAGGGAGGCTGAGGCAGGAGAACGGCATGAACCCGGGAGGCGGAGTTTGCAGTGAGCTGAGATCATGCCACTGCACTCCAGCCTGGGTGACAGAGCGAGACTCCGTAAAAAAAAAAAAAAAAAAAAAAAAAAAAAATTTATTCTAGTTAAGTCATTTTTAAATACTGCAAGACAAACTTAAGGAGCAAAATTTAACAATTTAATCATAATAATTATTAAAATACCATGGTATATGAACCAGTAGATAGTCTGTCAGAGCAAGAATTAGAACCCCCCAGGTGAGAATCTGTGTTTCTTCACCATGCCCTAATTTATTCAATCCTATATTCCTTCTTCTCAACTCTAGGGCTGCAGAACCAAAATACCTAACAGCATCGCAAAATGTCACATCCACTGCCTCCTTTTCTTCTTACTCCTTCTAAGTTCTGAGGTTTCCAGAAATCTTCAAAATACAAAAGTGAACAAAGATATACTTCCACTACAACAGCAAGTACTGATGTTCATATCTGGACTACACAAAGTCCTCAGAGACACATTTAGAAATTATTTTCTCTAATTAATGTTCAATACTTTCCCATTGAAAAAATAGGTCTATAACAACCTCTTTCTTTATTGAACCAAGTCTCCATAAGTTTCTTATTTATTAAAGTCACTCTGAAGAAAATGTCTCAATGAAATATTAATTCAGTGACAACCATATAAAACATACAAATAAAAGCTTAATTTTAAAAACATTCCCTTAAATATTTTCTACATAAATGTTTCCTTTTCAGATAATTACACTTAATAACACCAAAAACTTTTTAGATTCCTGTATTTTACAGAACCACCAATTGAATTAACTTTGTCCTTTTCACGCTCACATAGTTTTAATATTTAAAATTTGCTGGATTATCTCTTCTTACAACCAACATCACTACCACACTATTTGCTTATGGATTTTATTTTCCCTCTTTTCAAGAGCCTTTCCTTTCCCGATATATTTCTGAGTGTGTACCTATTTTCTAAAATGATTTTTTCTCACGCTTGTAATCACAGCATTTTGGGAGGCCGAGATGAGCAGATCGCCTGAGGTCAGGAGTTTGAGACCTGCCTGGCCAACATGGTAAAACCCCGTCTCTACTAAAAATACAAAAATCAGCCAGGTGTGGTGGTGGGCACCTGTAGTCCCAGCTATTCAGGAGGCTGAGGCAGGAGAATCACTTGAGCCCGGGAGGCCGAGGTTGCAGTGAGCCAAGATCATGCCACTGCACTCCAGTCTGGGTGACAGAGCGAGACTCCATCTCAAGAAATAAATAAATAATATAAATAATAAATAAATAATAAAACTATTTTTTAAAAAAGGATTTAAAAGTTAGAGATTTCTGACATAATACATAGAAAGTCCTGTTTCAGTTCTTTTCCTTTCCCAAATTTCACCAGTGAAATATCCTACCTGTAGAGAGAAACAGGTACAGGTTAATTTGTTTAAAAAAGGGTGAGGGGGAGCAAAACCATCTCTTCTTCACTTTTCTGCTGTCTATTCATGTTCTACACAATCTACTGAATGACAGGCCACAGATCTTTTAGCATTCTTAGGAAGAAAACACTGATGTGGTGGCATGTGCCAAGGTATATATAAAAGAAAAACAACAAAATTTCTCCTATTTTATAAGGCTAGCGTATTACTAGCCCTACATTTTGTTAAACTATCAGTACATCTAGTCCTCAATAGCCCTTGTGAAGCTTTACTATATAGTCTAAAGCAGTAACAAATGAATAAGTTAATGGAGAGGGAAAGTGAAAGGAAGTGAAAAACAAACTCTAAGTGGTGAATTCCTCTCCCAAATGAGAATTCTAATGTTTAAATACACTAAGTGGGAAACTAAAAAAAGTACTGTTATAATTTCAAGATTATTCTATATTTTAAGAAGCCAACTAAATAGAAAACTTTTAAAAATTTATACCACTTCTAACAAAGAACCATGCAATTGTCTAACTAAAAGACACTTACAAGAGTTTTCAGATGAATGGTTCACCAACAGTTGTTATTATAAAAGAGTTTTCCCGAAAAAAGGACTAAGAAAATGGCAGAGAGTATGTTCATGGATAGGTTGGTTCAGGATTCTCCCTGGAAAATGGGAACATCAAGCTACAAACTACAGCACAGCAATCAGACAATGCATTCAAAGGAAATACACCCATTTTCAATTTTAAGAGTTGTAAACTAGAAATCTAAAGAATAGTTCACACTCATCAATTGATACAAGTAAAGACAGAAAAGTACTTTAATCAATGGTGCAAATTACTTTCACTGATACATATATATGTATGTATACATTTTTTTCTTTCAAAATAACAATATTACAATATTCTTTCTGTTTCCTGGTAGGGAATGAATTGTCTTAAAACCCATCAGGAAAATAGTATTAAATCTATTTTTTTTTTTTTTTGAGACAGAGTCTCACTCTGTTGCTCAGGCTGGAGTGCAGTGGTGCAATCTCAGCTCACTGCAACCTCTGCCTCCCAGGTTCAAGCAGTTCTCCTACCTCAGCCTCCCAAGTAGATGGGATTACAGGTGCCTGCCACCATGCCCAGCTAATTTTTGTATAAAAATATATCTGTTTTAAATCATAGGACAAAAACAACTATGAAATCAGACATAGCCAGAAATGATAATGTATAAAATTTAAATATTATCTAAACCTGGGGCCATACACTCATATCAACCAGTACCAAACAGTCACCTTAAATGTATGAATCAAGCCAGGTATTTTCTGTAGAGTAGTGGGACCCGTGGCTAAACAGAAACAACCTACCACCCAAAGACATTCATATTTAATTGTGGAAAAAAAAAAAACAATACTGTTGCAGAATCAGGACTGTAAACTTAAAGTATCTGTTTTAAACACATTAGGGAGGCGGAAAAAATCCTGATATATGTCCTTCTAGTCTTAGTGAAATTGAGCAGGGACTAAAATGAAAATAAATCAAGAAACATTCAAAGCAGCAAGCTCCTCAGTAAGGATTCCTAAAGATACACAACAAGCACAAAGTAAATACAAATAGAGAATTCCACAATTTTAAGCAAAACATAACAGGCTGGTACCATTATAGAAAGAAGGAAAAAAAATGAAAAAATGCACAGAAGAATCTGCAAAAGAACTTACTAACTTAAAGTTTAAAAAAAAAGAAATATCTATGCCTAAAGCAGTTTTCCAAGATGTCAACATGTCAATTCAATCTAAAAGTGAAAGTAGGCAGAGACCCATAATTTACTGTTAGAATCTTTAAAATAAATATTAGTTACCAAATACTTTTTATTACACAGGCATTATGATCTTGAAATGGGTAAATAGGGGCCCTTAAGTGATACTGAAATCTTGTAAACACTAGTTACCAGAACAATGATCACTTAGTAAACAGCACCATAATTCATTAAATTCTTATTTATATAACTTAACACCTACTAAAACTTAACAATTACTTAGTAGGTCTCAAATAGGACACTTCAGCTACTGTTTTGTGAAATGAAGACAATCTTCACGCAAACATATAAAGACTGATGTACAGGCCAGGCACAGTGGCTCACGTCTGTAATCCCAGCACTTTGGGAGGCTGAGGCAGGTGGATCACCTGAGGTCAGGAATTCGAGACCAGCCTGGCCAACGTGGTAAAACCCCATCTCTACTAAAAATACAAAAATAGCTGAGTGTGGTGGCAGATGCCTGTAATTCCAGCTACTCGGGAGGCAGAGGCAGGAGAATCACTTGAACCCAGGAGGCAGAGGTTGCAGTGAGCCGAGATTGCGCCACTGCACTCCAGCCTGAGCAACAGGAGCGAAACTCCGTCTCAAAAAAAAGAGGTTGATGTACAAATGATTCAGGCAATTTCCTCAAAAAAGCATTTAGTTAAATTTTTATCAAATACATAAAATAAAATCTTCATATAAATGTTACCTCCTGGACATCCTCTGGATTTCTTCGTGAAACAACCTAAAACAAAACATACATAGAAATCTCTAATCATTATCAAAATTTAAGATTTCATATTTGTATAATTAACTTCCAATAGTATTTGTATGAAAAATTCAATTTGCTTAAAAAAATAAACACTATATCATTTATCCAAAACTCAGCTATATAATAACTTCACTATCTGAAATTCATACTGTTAAATCAAGTTTAACCTAAAGTTACCTCCCTTAGGCTACATATTTTAAGTTTGGCCTAAAAGTTTCTCTGTACATAATGAAAGAGAAATAGATATGTAAATAGATGTGTAAAGACTGTAACCTACTCTGGCGCCAATCACCAAGTTTTGGCCAAAGAGAGCCAACTGTTCAAACAGTGTTCAAATAAGGCAAATGCTTAGTTGGAACCAATACAGCTGTTTCAGTTTCCTTTTCTGTACATCACTTTCCTTTTTCTGTCCATAAATCTTCCACCACATGGTTGCGCTGGAGTCTCTCTGGACCTACACTGGCTGAGGAGGCTGACCAATTTGTGAATCATTCTTTGCTCAATTAAACTCTGTTAAATTTAATTTGGCTAAAAATGTTATTTTAACAATACTAAAAATTAAGCAAAAAAACAGCTAAAAGTAAGTCCACATGCTAAAGTTCATATATTCACTACATTCTTAAGAAAAAGCATCTGGCCTTTACTCTTACTTAATTAACATAATTCTAACAAGTTTGTTCACATCTCCCCTTCCCAGCAAGCCTATATACAAATTAGAAGCATAAAAAGCAGCTGCACTTAGGCAAAGTGTACAAGGGATCTCCCTACATTATTTCTTACAACTGTATATGAATCTACAATTAGCACAATAAAACTTTCAATTAAAAAAAAGCAGCTACAATGCTCGGACACAACATGTGAGAAGTATGAGAAGTAATCACTGGCTACCTATGATGAAGAAAACAAAAGTAATATAAATTATTTACAAACATTCAGGGACAAATAATCCTTCTATCAATACTCCCTAAGCAAAGAGGAAAAGGAGAGATTCCTTCAGACTTCCCTGATGACAAAGGCCAAAAAGTCTAACACCAGGTAAAAAGATTTTTTTCACAAAACTTTTGAAAAGGCTAGGTGTTTAAATCATCAAACAGCATCCTAAATTAGGAAAATCTCACATTAGATTACATAATACGGTACCATCCATGTAAGTGTCAAATTAACGGTTTTGAAGCTACAATGGTGTATTTTGCAAAAATAAACAAAAAGATAAATCAGGCTGTTCTGCCTATGGAGTAGCCATTCTTTATTCCCTTACTTTCTTAATAAACTTGCTTTCACTTTAAAAAAAATTTTAAAAAAAGATAAATCAAACACACATTAAAATGGTTGCCTAGGAGTGTGAGGAAGAAAAGGGTCTTTGATATCTAATGACAATACACCATGAACTAGGGATTATAATCCATTCAGCAACACCCCTAAAGTCCAAAATAAGAACAAAAAATAGAGGATGTAAAGTCAGACAAACCTTGGTTCAAATTACAGTTCCTCTTACAGGTTTGATCTCATCGATAAAACGGAGATAATACTAACTGCCTGGCCTGGCTGTTGTGAACAACAAATAAGGACACAGCAAGAACTCTATAATTTAAAAGTTTCCTGTCCCCTACCAGACAGGTTAACCATTGTAAAAGGTCCCACCTAAGAATTCCAGAGAACAAATATCTTGCACTCTATTCTCCAACTTTCAGAATATATAAACTTGGTGAAATCTTGTAGTAATTGTCATTAATTTATACTACAGTGCTATGCAATAGAACTTTCTGTGATAACGGAAAAAAAGGTTCTCTATTTGCAGTGTTCAACACAGCCACCACTAGCCACATGTGTGTGGCTACTGAGCCACTGAAATATGGCTACTTTGAGAAACTACATTAATTTTATTTCATTTAAATTAATTCAAAAAAATTTTTGTATTAAAGAGACAGGGTCTCACTCTGTCACCTAGGCTAGAGTGCCATGGCATGATCATAGCTCACTGCAGCCTCAAACTCCTGGACTCAACTGATCCTCCCACCTCAGCCTCTTGTGTAGCTGGAACTATAGGCACACCACAGTCGGCATACACACACACACACACACACACACACACACACACACACACATATATACACTTTTTTTTTTTTTTGGTAGAGATGGGGGTCTCCCTATGTTGCCCAGGCTGCTCTCAAATTCCTGGGATCAAGCAATCCTCCCGCCTCAGCCTCCCACAGTGCTAGGATTATAAGTGAGAACCACTGTAAGCCTTAATTTAAATTTAAATCAAAATAGCTACATGTGGTTAATGGCTACCAAATTAGACAACACAGATTCAGTATAAGAGACTATAACAGGTAACTAACAACTATACATTATTCAAATCTTTGATTTTAGCTATTACTTTCAAATACCAGCCTGTCCCCTCACACACCTTTCCAAAAGTATAGTATTTCACATAGTATGACTAATTTTGCTTCTTATAAGTGTTTCTTTTTTTTTTTTTTTTTTTTTTTTTTGAGACAGAGTCTTGCTCTGTCACCCAAGCTGGAGTGCAGTGGCGCGATCTTGGCTCACTGCAACCTCCACCTCCTGTGTTCAAGTGATTCTCCTGCCTCAGCCTCCCGAGTACCTGGGACTACAGGCATGTGCTACCATGCCCAGCGAATTTTTGTATTTTTAGTAGAGACAAGGTTTCACCATGTTGGCCAGGATGGTCTCAATCTCTTGACCTCGTGATCTGCCCGTCTCAGCCTCCCAAAGTGCTGGGATTACAGGCGTGAGCCACTGCGCCCCGCCGTTCTTACATTTTTATGAAATGTATTGAGAAGAAAAGTCATGGATAACCAATCCACTAATAATCCACCCCCCAAAAATAGCACATGATCACTCACAGCAAGGTCTATTCAAATGTACTTTAAATTTCACAATTTATGTTTTTCTCAGCTTAATACATTTCCTGAATTTATAAATATATTCAGATATCTTAAGTATTTTAAATAATCTTCCTTAATATAAGCAAATGATCTTTTTGAGACAGAATAACTTATTTCTTAGTTTGGTGTACATATTAGAAGTACCACATTTTGGTTTTCTTCAGATGAGCCAGTCCTGGAAATCAAATACATGTGTACTGCATAAACAAAAACACATTAGCCATCCCCTAACAATAGCCACAATATTAAAACCATCTTATCAGAAATAACCAATTTGATTATTATTTCTCAGCCGTCCTCTTAGTGGTTTACATACATCTATGTGCTGGATTACAATGGTGAGCAAGTCCCTTTCCTCCTGGAGCTCATAGTCTAGTGGTACACAGTGGTGGGGTGGGAGGGGAGTGCAGAGTGAAGGAGGGTGTATTTCCCAAACATATTTCCATACCTCAGATAACAGTAGAGTGCTAAGCAAAAGATTGGGAAACACTTCATCCTAGATCCTTCCCATGACACTGAATCCTCACTGTGCAGAGCAAAGTGGCATCCCAAAAGCAGTCAACCAGTCATGGTTTAGTGATGTAAGGCTCTTAATGTCTTCATGATAATAAAAGTGAAACTGACCCAATGGTCCCACGGACAGTTTTTTTGGATAAACATGGAAACTGACCCTTCTGGTATTAAAGCTTGAAACTTAACATTTGTTTTATCAGAGTTCCTTCTTCAGGAAAGGGCCCTCAGGCCTCTCAAAAAGTATTAATATTGTGAACCCCGAATATCTGAGACAGGTCTTAGTTACTTTAGAAAGTTCATTTTGCTAAGGTTGAGGATCCGCACCGGTAACACAGCCTCAGGAGATCCTGACAACATGTGCCCAAGGTGGTAGGGGCACAGCTTGATTTTATACATTTTAGGGAGACATAAGACATGAATAAATACGTGTAAGATGTACACTGGTTCAGTCCAGAAAGGTGGGACAACTCGACGTGGGGAGGGGGCTTTCAGGTCACAGGTAGTTAAAAGACAAATGGCTGTATCCTTTTGAGTTTCTGATTCGCTTCTCCAAATGAGGCAATCTGGTATGTATTAATGGTTATCTCAGTGAGCCGAGGGGTGACTTTGAAGAGAATGGGAGGCAGGTTGGCCCTAAGCAGTTCCCAACTTGACTTTCACCTTTAGCTTAGTTATTTGGGGGCCTCAAGATTTATTTTCCTTTTACAATATTAAATAAACTGAAATTCACCAGATCACTGCATCCAAACAATGAGATGCCAGACCTCTCATCCATCACAATTGCTTCCTTAACCCTCTGTAGTTCCTGTTTTCCCATAGATAATCACATTTTCTCCCTGCTATATAAACTCCTAATTTTAGTCAGTCAGGGAAATGGATCTGAGACATCTCCTTGACTGCAACACCTGATTAAAGCCGGCTTCCTTAGCAATACTCATTGTCTCAGAGATTGCTTTCTGTGTGACAAGCAGCAGGACCTAGACGGAACCCCTGGTGTTTTGGTAACAACAGTAACTCATGATTATTATGCAATATACAGAAAATCAAAGTTGAAGTATACTTAAACTACCTAAGTGAAGGTCTTTAATTTTAGGCTTACAAAAGGAACTACTCTGTACCCACCAAATACTTCACAGTGAAGGAGGAAATTTAGACAGGGTTTGGAAAATCAAATCAAAAGCTACTTAGGTATTACCTGACAAGCCTAAAGCTTAGTGAAAACTGTGTCTTAAAAGCACAGGGTTATACTTCCCTGATTCTCTTTCCTCTTTGGTGCTTTTGCTTCTCTTTTGTAGGTTATTCTTCATCCTTCTGCCCCCTGGTATTCTGTGAACACTCCAAGAATTGTTTTAAACTCTTGTTTTTTAGCCTCCTTTTTATTATTAACAGTCTATATCTGTGCTAATACTGTTCAAGGCACTGCGCTAGGCATAGGGAAAATTTGACTCTGTACATTTACATTTGCGAAGAATTTTATATTAATGAATCACTTCATTTTCTCAACAACCTATGAGTTAGGCAGGAGTAGCTATTATGACTTCCCCTTTTACAGATAAGAAAACAAGGTGGTTCAGAGTCCTGTCTAAAGCCACATGGCTATTCACCTTCAAATTTAGAATGAGATCCTCGACTGTCTGACTCCTGGTCTACTGCTCTTTCCACTCTATTACACTGCCTCCCTCTATTTATCTGCGGTATTTTCAGCAATAATGAAGTTTACTTATTTCCATAAAATTCCATCGCCATTAGGTTTTTGTTTATTTCACCTACTCATTCAACACATATTAGTGCCTACTCTGCTGCCAGGTACTGCAGTACAATGGAGAATATACTAGGTCTGATTCCTACGCAACTGCATTATAAAAATACAATCACTTCCCAAATACATTACCAACTTCAACCACTTGGTACCCCACTATTAGGGATTCAGTATTCCCGAATGTGTCATCTCATTTAAATACTTCACAAATGTGTCCCCCAAAACGGAAACGAAAACCACAAAATGGCTAGGATAATGTGAATTGAGTGCAAAAATCCATGAGTAACAATTCTTTCTGTGTAATTATCTTCCGTGACTGAAAAGTTAATGAAAAATAAGAGTATCAATCAGAAATCTGAGGGAAGAATATAACCATACTGACAATAAATAAAACTGAGCTAGCAACTCAGTAATTTTTCTCTGGATAAATTTCAAGAGAGTTTGTCACAAAGTTCAACCAATAAATTCCACAAAAGTTGGAATTTAAAACAGTGACTGTTTTCATTAAAAGTTCACAAAGGGCCAGACACGATGGCTCAAGCCTGTAATCCCAGCACTTTGGGAGGCCGAGGAGGGTGGATCACGAGGTCAGGAGTTCGAGACCAGCCTGGCCAAGATGGTGAAATCCCATCTCTACTAAAAATACAAAACTTAGCCAGGCACGGTAGCAGACGTCTGTAATCCCAGCTACTCGGGAGGCTGAGGCAGGAGAATCACTTGAACCCAGGAGGCAGAGGTTGCAGTGAGCCAAGATCGCGCCACTGCATTCCAACCTGGGCAACGGAGCAAGACTCTGTCTCAAAAAAAAAAAAAAAAAAAAGGCCGGGCACGGTGGCTCACGCCTGTAATCCCAGCACTTTGGGAGGCCGAGGCGGGTGGATCACAAGGTCAGGAGATCAAGACCATCCTGGCTAACACGGTGAAACCCTGTCTCTATTAAAAATACAAAGTTAGCCAGGCGTGGTGGCAGGTGCCTGTAGTCCCAGTTACTCGGGAGGCTGAGGCAGGAGAATGGCATGAACCCAGGAGGCAGAGCCTGCAGTGAGCCGAGATCACGCCACTGCACTCCAGCCTGGGCAATAGAGCAAGACTCCATCTCAAAAAAAAAAAAAAAAAAAGTTCACAAAGGCCAGGCGCAGTGGCTCACACCTGTAATCTCAGCACTTTGGGAGGCCCAGGCAGGAGGATCACCTGAGGTCAGGAATTCAAGAACAGCCTGACCAACATGGTGAAACCCCATCTCTACTAAAAATACAAAAATTAGCTAGGCTTTGTGGCATCCACCTATAATCCCAGCTACTAGGGAGACTGAGGCAGGAGAATCGCTTGAACCCGGGAGGTGGAGGTTACAGTGAGCTGAGATTGCGCCATTGTACTCCAGCCTGGGCAACAAGAGTGAAACAACCCCTCAAAAAAAAAAAAAAAAGTTCACAAATTTGGCCGGGCCCAGTGGCTCACGCCTATAATCCCAACACTTTGGGAGGCCAAGGCAGGTGGATCACCTGAGGTCACAAGTTCAAGACTAACCTGGCCAACATGGTGAAACCCCGCCTCTACCAAAAATACAAAAATGAGCCGGGTGTGGTGGCATGTGCCTGTAGTCCCAACTACTCAGGAGGCTGAGGCACTAAAACAGTTCGAACCAGAGAGGCGGAGGTTGCAGAGAGCCAAGATCACGCCATTGCACTCCAGCCTGGGTGACCAAGTGAAACTCCGTCTCAAAAAAAATAAATAAAAATAAAAATAAAGTTCAGAAATTTCCACTGCAAGCATTAACTGCCACTGATTCAGTTAGTACTACCTATATATCTTGAAATGCTTCTTGCTTTTTAGAAATTTATCACCAACTCATCTTAAAAAGTATTACCTTACACTCTACTAAAAATACAAAAAAAAAAGTATTACCCTACAGCAGTGCTTCACAAAACATGTTACATGGAATACCAGTATTCTTTAAAATCAGTGATCTCACAGGAAGGGCTTAATAATCAATTCAATTTACCTCTTTTTAAGAAGGAATGTTGTTTACAGCAGAATTCTTCAAACCCTTTAATACATTAATATGCCTAGTAAATCCCCAAAAGGAAGATACATAGTATTTCCCAAAGACATCTAGCCACTCAATTTTTTATTTTTATGTTATTTATTATTATCATCCTCATTATTTATTTAGTACAACACCTACTAAAATCTGAAGCACTAGAGAAATACTACCACAATTTCTGTAGTCTATCTGCCTCTGTTCATGAACAGCAAATTATGAATTTAGAAAAACAATGTCTCACAGCAAAAGTAACTATCTCTTATTGTGCTAAGAAATTAAATACTCTACTTCATTCAATAATCACTACAACCATGCTTGGTAAGATGAGATAACCAAAGACCTAGAAAATAGACTCAATCAAATAACAGAGGCAGGACCAGATCTCACAACTCCATGACTCCAAAGTGCTCTCTCCAGGACATAAGCCAATTGGCTCTCTTCAAGATTAAAATTCCAAGTATTCAGGTAATATTCCTGACAAAATATCTCTGACAAAATGCCTATAGGCATTACAGTTAGGTAAACCCTTTGTCTTACAAGTCAACTAAAATACAGAAATTGAAGAACCACTTTGGAAAAGCAGAAAATAAACAAGGGGCTTGGAACTAAAAAGAATGGGGTCTGAATAATGGTGTTGGCACTGCCCATGAACTGCTTTTTCTGCCAGCTCAGTACTAAAACAAAGTAAAAACAAAGAAAAGACCCAAAGTCAGCCCCCTTGCCTATTCTGAAAACAAAGATCAGACTGTGAGGCTTGGCCTAGGTCAGTTCCATAATAATCAACAGGTCACATTGCCACTGGGTCCCTGAAATCCTTTCCAGTATGCTAACTTATTCTATCTACTTCTTAATAAATATTACCATGTTTCCTTAAAAGTCAGGTCAAAAGCACTCTCTTGCCCGGATGCGATGGCTCACGCCTGTAATCCCAGCACCTTGGGAGGCCGAGGCTGGCGGATCACAAGGTCAAGAATGAGACCATCCTGGCCAACATGGTGAAACCCTGTCTCTACTAAAAATACAAAAATTAGCTGGGTGTGGTGGGGCTCGCCTGTAGTCCCAGCTGCTCGAGAGACTGAGGCAGGAGAATACCTTGAACCCGGGAGGCAGAGGTTGCAGAGAGCCAAGATCGCACCACTGTACTCCAGCCTGGTGACAGAGCGAGACTCCGCCCCAAAAAAAAAAAGATTCAAAAGCACTCTCTTATCTGATTATCACCATAATGATGATTAGAAATCACTCTGTTAACTCAGACATATACAAAAAGCTGTATTTTTTGTTAAGATTAACAAAGAGTAGCTACAGGTGGAATATCCTTTTTCCAAAATGCATGAGACAAGAAGTGTTTCAGATTTTGTATTTTTTTTGGATTTTGGAATATTTGCACATACATGAAATATATTGGGGACATGACCCAAGACTAAACACAAAATTCATTTGTTTCATATATACCTTTATATACAGAGCCTGAAAGTAATTTTATACAGTATTTTTAATAATTGTGTGCATGACTGCAACCTATCACATGAGGTCAAGTGTGAAATTTTATACCTGTAGCATCATTTGACACTCAAAAAGTTTTAGATTTTGGAGCATTTTGGATTTCAAACTTTCAGAATAGGGATGCTAACCTGTACTAGAAAACAAAACTACAAAAATTATTCAAACTTATAGTATTTCCTAGGTTAAAAAAAAAGATAAAATAAGCCCCTTTAGAAACTAGTATTGATAAGAAGTTAAACATAAAATTTAAGAAGCTACTTTTATAAGCAAAGTATTGTAATCAAGTCTTCTGAGGGCTACTTCACTATCACTGTTCAGCTGCTAGTTAAGGGTAGCAGAGCTAAGAAGAAAAAGTGACAAAATTAATACTAGTAATTACACTAAGTGTCAAGGTACAAATAATCAAACATGGAAAACATGTCCACTCTTTTCATTTTTCAAAGATATGAATCTCTGAATGTGGGACAGGAATAATATGCAGAAATGGAAGGCTACACTATTCTGAACATTTCTCCTTGTGGTGATTAGGTATACCAAGTGGCACATTCATCAATATAATGCATGCATTCCTGATTTTCAGATATTTAAAATCCATACTTTCATGTTAACATACTGACATATTTAAACTGGACTTCATACATACAAAAAAAAAAAAACACCCAAGTCTTGCAGGAAAAGTAGGTCAAAGCACCCAGCTCACATAGGCAATTGTTACCTTACCAACTCAACCTCCCTTTCATGACCACCTGCACCTGAGTTCTTCTCTCCCGCTCTTCCCTGCAGAGCCACAGGTGGCACTGGTTGGCAAGAATATTTGGGCTGGTTATCACCCACCAGCCAGGCAGTCTGGACCCAAGAGGCAACACCTGCACAAACCATAATTAGACATTTTATAATTTTTAGTTCTCTGGAGTGAAAGAACTCCCATATAAGATAGATAAGTCAATGGGACAAATTTTAGACATTCAACTTTCTAACAAGTTTTCACGAAAGCATTATGTCAAAAGTACTACAGACTGAATGTTTGTGTTTCTCCTAAAATTCATATTGAATTTCATGTTGAAACTCTCATCCCCAATGTGATGGATGTGGATGTGAGGCCTTCCAGAGGTAATCAGGTCATGAGGGTGGGAACTTCATGATGGGATTACTGCGCTTACAAGAAAAAGACAATGATCTCTCTCAGCCATGAGACCATACAGCAAGAAGGCAGCTGTATGCAAATCAGGAAGCGGGCCCTCATCAGGTATTAAATCTGCTGGCCTCTTGGTCTTGGACTTCCCAGCCTGCAGCCTTCAGAACTGTGGGAAAGAAATGTCTATTGTTGAAGCCATCTAGTCTATAATATCTTGTTATAAAAATCCAAACTGACAAAGACAGTAAGGAGTTGTGGCTTTCTAGATTATTAAAATCCCAAAATCTCAGGGAGAGTAAAGAAGCTAAAACTGCAAGTTATCTCTAGATACTCAGTATATGTTTGCTAAAGTTATTTTTCTCACCTCAAATTTTACCAATTATAGCAGTATTCTAAACTATTTTCCAATCAAGGTTCAAGGAAAATCAAAATCCTTAATGTTAAAGAAAGTCTGCAGTTTAATATAAAATCTTAATATCTGAGACAAGTTGTCAACAAACAAGATGAAATCAGGAATGGTTTACATTTTTTAAGTTCCATTTACTGAAATTTTTGGTATATTAGAAAGTTTTCTACTAAACAATATTACAAGTTAAAAACAAAGGAACAGTAGAATAAAACTAGACTCTAGAAAACACAAGACACCTTGAGAGCCATTTTTCAAAAATTTTAAGCATAAATATATTTTACAACAAACTAATTGCCCTCCCTATCCCTATGATTATTTTGTTTGTTGAAAATATCTCCAGATTAAGCCAAAACTAAGTATTTATTCAAGAAATCTTCAAGAAGCTACTGATTTAACAACTGAAATCTAACAACTCCCACTGCCTTAATATCAGACATTTGTTAATAATCCTAACAGGTTAAGGATTTAAAATTTAGTAGGTTCTTTCTTTTTTCCTTTAAAGTGACTCAAATTATTGCTTGAAATGTGTATGACTACATATTACTTCAAAATTTAAAAGCTAACAAAACTAAAAAGTAAAACATGCAGCTGGACGCGGTGGTTCACACCGGCAATCCCAGCACTTTGGGAGGCTGAGGTGGGCGGATCACCTGAGGCCAGGAGTTAGAGACCAGCCTGGCCAACATGGCAAAACCCCGTCTCAACTAAAAATACAAAAAAATCAGCCGGGTGTGGCCAGGCGCAGTGGCTCACGCCTGTAATCCCAGCACTTTGGGAGGCCGAGGCAGGCAGATCACGAGGTCAATAGATGGAGACCATCCTGGTCAACATGATGAAACCCCATCTCTATTAAACACATAAAAATTAGCTGGGCACGGTGGCGGGTGCCTGTAGTCTCACCTACTCAGGAGGCTGAGGCAAGAGAATTGCTTGAACCCGGGAGGCAGAGGTTGCAGTGAGCCAAGATCACGCCATTGCACTCCAGCCTGGGCAACAGAGCGAGATGCGTCTCAAAAAAAAAAAATTAGCCGGTGTGGTAGCACATGCCTGTAATCCCAGCTACTCGGGAGGCTGAGGCAGGAGAATCACTTGAACCCGGAAGGCGGAGGCTGCAGTGAGCTGAGATCGCACCACTGCATTCCAGCCTGGATGACAAGTGAGACTCTGTCTCAAAATATATATATATAAATAAATAAAACATGCAGCCTCCCATACACAAAAACTCTACCGTGAAAATTATACTAGAGGATAAAAGACTGAATGCTTTCCTCCTAACATCAAGAACAAGGCAAGGAAGTCTACTCTCACCACTCCTATTCAAGACTGTGGACTACAAGTCATAGCCAGTGTAATAAAGCAAGAAAAAGAAATAAAAGACATACATTTTGGAAAGAATAAATAAAACTATGCCTTTTGGCAGACAACACAGATTGTCTATGCAGGAAAAAACCAAGAATTCTACTAAAAAGTCTTAGAACTAATAAGTCAGTTTGAAAGGTCACATGATACACCAACATGGCACATGTATACATATGTAACTAACCTGCACGTTGTGCACATGTACCCTAAAACTTAAAGTATAATTTAAAAAAAGTCACGTGATATAAAGACAACACAAAAATGAACCAAATTTCTATATATTAGCAAAGAAAAGCTGAAAACCAAGATTTTTAAAAATACTATTGACAATAGCTACAAAAATACGAAATAGTGGGGAATAAATCTAACAAAATATACAGAGAAGCAATTTGCTCAAAACCACAAAATGCTGATAGAAGAGATCAGAGAACACAAATAAACTGCAAGACATACTGTGTTCATAGATTTGAAGATTCAACATAGAAAAGATGTCCATTTTTCCCTAAAGTGATCTACAGATTTAATGCACTCCTAATCAAATCCCAAAAGGATTTTTTGTAGCTATAGATAAACTGATTCTAAAATATATATGAAAAAGCAAAGGAACTAGGGTAGTCAAAATAATTTTGAAAAAGAATAAAATTGGAGAAACAATATTGCCTAATTTTAAGATATAGTATAAAGCTATAATAATCAAGATTGTATGGTATGGAACAAAATAAGAGAATCCAGAAACAGCTTTACACATATATAGTCAATTGACTTTTGGCAAAGGAATAAAGGCAATTCAACGAAGAAAGGTTAGTCTCTTGAACAAATGGTGTTTTGTTGCAATGGGACAACCAGAGGCAAAAACAGAACCTTCACCCAAACCTTACACCTTATAAAAAAACAAAAAACAAAAAAAAAAACCTCAAAATGGATCATAGAGCAAAATATAAAATGCAAAGAAATAAGTTATCTAGAAGAAAACATTGGGAAAAATATTTGTAACCTGAGGTTAGGCAGAGATTTTAGGTATGACACTAAAAGCATGGTTCATAAAATAAAGAACTGATAAACTGGACTTCACCAAAATTACAAATTGTGCTTTGCAAAAACACTGTCTGGGTGCAGTGGCATACCTGTAGTCCTAGCTACTTGGAAGGCTGAGGTGGGTATCACTTCAGCCTAGGAGGTCGAGGCTGTAGCACACTATGATCACACCTGCGAATAAGCACTGCATTCCAGCCCTGGCAACACAGCAAGACCCCATCTCTAAAAAAAAAAAAAAAAAAAAAAAAAAGGTCAGGCGCACGTCTGTAATCCCAGCACTTTGGAAGGCCAAGACAGGCAGATTGCTTGAGACCAGGAGTTTGAGACCAGCCTGGACAACATGGTGAAACTGGGTCTCTATTTAAAAAATACAAAAATTAGCTGGGCACAGTGGCACATTCCTGTAGTCCCAGCCACTCAGGAGGCTGAGAGGTGGGAGAATTGCTTGAGCTCAGGAGGTCAAGGCTACAGTGAGCCATGATCACGCCACTGCACTCCAGCCTGGACAACAGAGGGAGACTCTGTCTCAAAGGAAAAAAAAAAAAAAAAAAAAAAAAGATACTTCAGAGAATTAAAAGATATGCTCTAGATCAGGAGAAAATATTTACAAATGTCATATCAAACCCCAAAAAAAAGATACCCAGAACATAAAGAACTCTCAAAACTCAGGAGTAAGAAACAAACAACCCAAAGAAAAAAATAGGCAAATTATCAGTCTAAAAGGCTAAATACTATATGATTCTATTTATATGACATTCTCAAAAAGACAAAAGTATAGTAGTATAGATAGATCGCTGCTTGCCAGGGTATAAGGAGTAGGGGGAAGGGTGGAGTTTTTTTAGGATGATGAAACTTCTGTTTCTTGATTATGGTGGTAGATAAATGAATTTATACTCATGTTAAGATTCAAAGAATTATACAAAAGAATAAGTCAATTTCATTGTATGTTAATTTAAAAATCAATACTTGAAAAGCAAAGCGCTGCCTCCTTCCAGCCTACCCTGAAATCCCTACTATAGTCCAAGCTCTGTGCTAGGCACCAAGAATATACAGTTAAAAAGACAGAGTCAGCCGGGCATGGTGGCTCACGCCTGTAATCCCAGCACTTTGGGAGGCTGAGATGGGTGGATCACTTGAGCTCAGGAGTTCAAGATCAGCCTGGGCAACATGGTGAAACCCCGTCTCTTAAAAAAAATACAAAAATTAGTCAGGCAGGGTGGCATGTTCCCGTAGTTCCAGCTACTAGGGAGGCTGAGGTGGGAGGATTGCTTGAGCCTGCAAAGTCAAGGCTAGAGTGAGCCGTGATCGTTCCACTACACTCCAGCCTGGGTGACAGAGTGAGACTCTCAAAAAAGAATAGAGTCTGCCATCAGAAGAGGTGTCAAACAAGTACATTATGATAACGGAGGAGATACAAGACATATAGAGAGCAACGCCTAAAAAAAAAAAAAAAAGCTTCCCGGAACACAGGGTATAGCTGACACCTGAGATGAGCAGAGATTGCCAAGACAAAAGGAAAGAGTATTCCAGACAGAGAAAATAGCATCTAACAGAGAGATATGGAAGAATGTAGTGTTCTAACCTAATTTGGAAACTACAAATAATTCCATTCCCAGGCACAAGCAGGCTGCTTAAGAATATGGTCAGGAAATGAGGACAGGTTCCCTCCAAGCAATATAAATAGTGCTTCGATTTGAAGCTTTGGAAATGGTAATTTTTCAGACTTAAGTGAAGCTCAGTACTTCCCATTAATTCCCTCACTCCCCTTTGTTCACATCATCACAGTTACTTATTATTCACGTATCCATCACTTTTGCCAAACTATAGTAATGCCCTTGTGGGGACACATAGGTGTCCCCATATGCACACTCACAGCACCTAATGAAAAATGTTTTATAATACAGGTATTCAGCAGCATAGCATTGGGATTAAAAGCACTGTGATTGGGACCAGTCTACCTGGGTTCAAATGTAGACTCTACCACTTGCTGGCTATATGACCCTGGACAAGTTACTAAACGTCTCTGTGCCTCAATTTCCTCATTGAAAATGTGGAAATGATAATGGTACCTACTCACCGGGCCCCTGTGACAAATGTGTTAATTTAATATAAACTGCTTGACTCAGTAAGCACCATGTAAGTGTTTGCTGTTATTACTCAACAAACACTAGCTACGTATAATAAAACTAGGATTTATACATTCTCCTGGTTTCAAAATAAACCCAAACTACTTTAAATAGGTGCAAAGCCAATGAGGTAGCTTGTGCCCACAATCCCAGGCAATAGGCTGAGGAGGGAGTAACACTTGAACCCAAGAGTTCAACCTGCAGTAAGCTATGATTGCGTCACTGCACTCGAGCCTGGGTGATGCAGTGAAACCCCCATCTCTGAAAAAGATCAATAAATAAAAATAAACATGTGCAAGACTGTATCCTGAGAATTACAAAGCACTGCTCATACTGAAGAGCTAAATAAATGAGGAGATATATTATGTTCATGGATCAGAGACAATATTATTAAGATATCAATTCTTCTGAAATTCATCTACATTCTCAATATAATCCCAATCAAAATCTGGACAGGCATTTTTGTAGAAACCAGACAAGCTGATTCTAAATTTTATACACAAATGCAAACAATCTAGAATAGCCAGAACAATTTTGAGAAAGAAAGAGTACTTAGACTACCTGATTTCAAAACTTAGTATAAAGCTACATAAACAAAGCCATGTGGTATCATGAGAAATAAAACCATATGTCCATACAAAGACTTGTATATGAATGTTCATAATAGCTGTATTCATAATGTCCAAAAACTGGAAACAACCCAAATATCCATCAGATAAAATGCAGTATATACAGATAAAATGCAGTATAACCATACAATGGAATATGAGTCAGCAATAAAAGGGAATGAAACACATGACAACATGGATAAATCTCAAATAATCATACTGAGTGGAAGAAGCCAGACCAAAAAAAAAAAGTGCATACTATATGATTCCTTGTATACAAAATTCTAGAAAATACAACCCAATCTATAGTGACAGAAAGCAAACCAGTGGTTGCCTAGAGATAGGGAATGAGGGGGAGTGACTGACTGCAAAGGAACATGAGGGAACTTGTGCAGTGATGAACATGGGTAGTTACACAACTGTATACATTTGTCAAAACTCATCAAATTGGACACTTACAATGGGTGAATTTTACTGTATATAAATTATGACTCAATGTAAATTAAATAAGTTATAATACAGCACTGTCTTTTGAGAATAAAAACATACCTTTTATACTCATGGAAAGAATACAGGCAAGAACTGCCATTCACCTACTGTTGCTGAGAAATCTATACTACAATATGAGAATTTTGTAAACTTAGCATGATGAAATAACTGAAAACACTGCTGATGGTTCTCTTACACTTGTGTCTCCTTCAACTAAAGAATCAAAGGGAACTTATGAAAGAATTTTCCAATTCTGAATAGAGGTACTTATTCTACATAAAAATTAAGAAATAACACTGAGTTTAACTGCAGAATCTGTTAGTATGCTTGCAACTGGCCTCAAAATCATCTAACCTTGCCAGATTTCAGAGAACTGCAAAAAAGCACAAAGGAGATTTAAGAAGATGAAAAAGCTCTTTTGCTATCCAAAATTTAACATTGGTACTTCCAATGATTAAAACTCTACTCCTACAGAAATAACCCTGCAAGGATCAAAAATATAGAAAATTGTTCCTTGAAGCTAGAAGTAAATCAGTAGTAGAAAATATACAGAAGACATTCTTAATTTTTATCTCATGAAGTTCTCTCAGGAGAGCACTATTTACCTGGTTAATTATCCTGAAAAAAGGTGTTTTTCTCCTTAACTCTCAAGAAATATTTTATAATACTAAGCACAGTTATTTTAAAAGTATGTCTCCACGTTGACTCTCAGACCTTACATTTTAAAAACAAAATCTGTAACATAAGCAATAAATGAAGACATAAATATTTACGGGAAGAAAAAAGGCAGTCTGTGCAATTTTCAAGTTCAAATAACCAGAGCAATATGTAACATGCATATATATAAATGTGGTTAGTTCTAAGGCAATGTGCTACTTTATCTTCTAGTTTATATTGTCAAAACTTAGCTCAGTAAATAGGTCACAGCTTCAGATATTTAAGATCTGAATTTGGCCAATGCGGTGGCTCACGCCTGTAATCCCAGCACTTTGGGAGGCTGAGGTGGGTGGATCACCTGAGGTCAGGAGTTCGAGACCAGACTGGACAACAAGGCGAAACCTCGTCTCTACAAAAAATAGACAAATTAGCCGGGTATGGTGGAGGGCGCCTGTAATCCCAGCTACTTGAGTGGCTGAGACAGGAGAATCACTTGAACCCAGGAGGCGAGGTTACTGTAAGCTGAGATAGCGCCACTGCACTCCAGCCTGGGCAAGAGAGCGAGACTACGCCTTGGAAAAAAAAAAAAAAAATTCTGAATTTGGTTAACCTTTCCTTTTGTAAAGTAACAATACAAATAATTATACTCAGTGCTTCCAATTCCAGTTCCACACACATTCATACCTCCAGGTCTTTATGGACTCTACCCCTTCAACTGTCTACCTTTTCATACCCTCTCCTTTTCTGGATTCTTCCCCTCTTTCAACTATCTTGATTGGTACATATTCCCCAATCTCTTGATCCAGAAGCAATCTGTCTTCCCACAGCCCTTTTCTGTAGTGTCTGCTGGAACTTCCTGTGTTATATCACACTTAAGTATACTAAACTCTCTTCTACTATGAGTATCCTTGAAAGGAATAAAGATCCCTGCTTTATTCAGCCTTATGTCCCTCAGTATTTAGTGCCTGGATCTAAACATTTATTGGGTGTGCTCCGTACAATGAAGAGGAAAACATTCAACAATGTTTTTCAGGCACTGTGTGCCATGCACATGCATGTTCTTTTATCTATTATTTGATATAAGCAGAAACAAATGCCAATGATAGAGAACTGCTCTAAATCCACTAAGAGACACAGACATGCAACTAAATTAATACAATATAACTTTCCTGTTAAATTAACGGATAAGTAGGATGCTGTGAGAGAAACATTACGTATGTTGAAAACTGTTCTGATTCCATACACTATGTGTTAGGAAACTAAGCCTAGATTTTCAAAGGGCCCAATGACTAGAAAGGTTTCAAGAGTGGTATAATAAGGGCCCCTCACTCTCACAAAATTTCTTACACAACCTGAAACTAACATTCCACCCATGTAACAACCTTAAGTGCAAGCAGGGAGCAACAAACATCCCTCTATTCTCCGAACAGCAATCGGCAATAGCAGGTCAGGTCTTCTCATTATCTTTATACAGACATGTTCATCTATCCCTCCTTCTCACATTTATCTGAATTGTGCACCATTTCCATACATCACGTGCCACTCCCATGCCCCAAACTGATCTATTTAACCTTTAAGATTCTTCTCAGGCTGGGTGTGGTGGCTCATGCCTGTAATCCCAGCACTTTGGGAGGCCGAGGCAGGCGGATCAACTGAGGTCAGGACTTCGAAATGAGCCTGAGCAACATGCAGAAACCCCATCTCTACTAAAAATACAAAAAATTATCAGGGCATGGTAGCACATGCCTGTAATCCCAGCTACTCGGGAGGCTGAGGTAGGAGAATCGCTTGAACTCAGGAGGCAGAGGTTGCGGTGAGCAGAGATCATGCCATTGCACTCCAGCCTGGGCAACAAGAGCGAAACTCCGTCTCAAAAAAAAAAAAATTATTCTGAAGGCCTGCTTTACATCCTCCAAATGTATATTGAACTACTGTTACTTAATCTGTACCTCTCTTCTTTAAAAATTGATAAAGTTAATTATTAACATTTTATATAACTTGGAGTTAGGCAAAACTGGTTTCAGATCCCAGACAGATCTGCTACTGCCTTGCAATGTAAAGTTGGGCAAGTTACTAAACTTGCTTTAATCTATTTCTTCCTCATTAAAATGAGAATTAAATTGGGTGATGTGCATAAAATGCCTACTATACACATATATTCATGCACACATACGTCACATACATATATACTTATTTAATTTTGATTTATTCTTACTTTCCTAGAAGATGCAGACTCTCTTTAAAACTCAAGGCAAAAGCAATGAAACATAAAGTGGGTACTAAAAATTGGACCAGTTAGTTGATGTAAAGGAGCCTCCCAACTTTAAAATGTGCCCTCATGGTAGCTCACACAAGCCACCCTCAGCAGATTTTTTTCACGTCTCCTACTGAAAAACATGAAAAACTCAAAGGTTTGACAAAGCCCGGATCCACAGTTCCTAGGTTGGTGGCCTAACACTGACATCTGTCCCAAGAATCTGTCTTTCTCACAGCAAACCTGATAAAGGTCAAGAGAAAAAACAACTTATATTACATAAGCCAAACAATACATAAATTAACACTTTTTAATCTGCATTATCTTCCTGGAGCAAGCAAAACCACTTCTGCAAATTGCGAACTCAGAAGAGAAAGTCCAAACGGGATGGGAACTGAGTCATCAATTTAAAACCATCAACCACTGACTGCCCCACCCCCAGAAAGAGGACTCTACCACGACCTACTACAGTGAAGCCCTGGGCATATCACACTCAGCCACTACTCTAAAAATCCCAACCTCCGACACCCAAGTCCCGCCAGTAGGAGCAGCACCCAGTCCCACCCTCGGCTCTGAGCCAGAGTCAGGTACCCTCACATCAGGGTCCCCACCCCAGATCCTCAGGTCCCAATCCAAGCTCTACCCCAGCCCGACACCGGCACTCACCCGGGCGGTGACCTTATATACTGTGTAGCCCCTCGGGTGTCGCTGGGGCTCGGTGACAGTGTAGAAACGGGCCAGGTCGGCACTCCGCTCCCGGTAAGAGGTCATCCTCCCGCCGCCTCTGCCGCCGCCGCCACCCGCCCGGGATCATGAGGGAAACCCGGCGCCGCCGCGGTCCAGGTTCCCCAACGCAGCGGCGAAGCGGCGAGGGGGCGGTGGCTCCAAGGCGGCTCCACGGCGGCGCCTCAGCTGCACAGCTCTGCTTCCGGGTCAGCAGAGAAGCTTCCGGGCCAGGCTATCTCCCGCTTCTAGGGGGAGGGGAGACTCCTCCTTAGATTCTAGCCCCTTTGGGGCACCTGGGACTGGCCTGTAGTTGAAGACTAAGGGGTCGCGCTGCCACCCCCGTCACTGCGGAGACCTCAGGCCTCTCCACTAAAGACGACCTCTTGTACGCTAGCTCCGTCACCTTTTATGAGATTTTATGAGAGTTGGTATAGCCACGCCACACCGGGAGAGCGTGGTCCTCCCTGCCTCCGCCCCGCCGTGGTACAAACTTAAGTGGAGTGTTGAAGGGATGGAGAGATACCATAGCCTAGCACCTTCTTTCCTTACCTATTCACAGCCTATCATTTTAAATACCCACAGCAACATCTCATTCTCTGAGACATATCCCTTACTTCTTTCTAAGACGAATTTCCTTCCATTGAGCGCCTTTCTGTAACACATCTGCACAGCAAGCCCCCAACCCAAAAAAGCTCCCAAGCCAATATCAATCTTTTAAAAATCCCCACAGGTTCGAAAATCTGGAGTCCGCCTCTGGCTAGAAGAAAGAAATATGTCACTCGACCTCTCCGAGTCACTCACTACAGTTTCCAATTTCAGCTGAGGTTGTTATCAACGCTTGGCAGTTCCTTTATCTTTTTGTGATCAAGGTTCCTTTTCATTCCACAAAATATTCATGCCAAGTCTTTGCCATTATCCTAAAGACTCTGTTCCTCTTCCTTTTGCCTCCCTACTCTCCGCACCACCACTCTTCTTTACAGGGAAAAAAGAAGAGGAAGAAGCAGCTATGGCCCTTAGTACCAATTCCTTTGTCTTCTCACATTTCCATGCCAGTCTGAAACGTACACATATCACTTGCTCATTTTTACAGCTAATGACTCCACATGTGATCTGAATCCCATCCTCTTTGGCAAACCTTAAGACACTGTTTCAATGACATTCCAAATCTCCTTTCTGTATGTTTAATCTCTTTCTCACCACTGGCTCCTTCTTTTCAACCTACATATATCTAAGTCTATTAGTCATTCATTAAACCTGAATTCACCACCTACTATGTGCCAGACATGATGCCAATTTGGCATTGGAGTTACAAAGATAGTCCCTGTTCTCCGACCGGGCGCGGTGGCTCACGCCTGTAATCCCAACACTTTGGGAGGCCGAGGCGGGCGGATTACCTCAGGTCAGGAGTTCGAGACCAGCCTGGCCAACATGGTGAAACCCCGTCTCTACTAAAAATACAAAAAATTAGCCAGGCGTGGTGGCAGGCGCCTGCAATCCCAGCTACTTGGGAGGCTGAGGCAAAAGAGTCGTTTGAACCCGGGAGGTGGAGGTTTCGGTGAGCCAAGATCGCACCATTGCACTTCAGCCTGGGGGACAAGAGCAAGACTTCTCTCAAAAAAAAAAAAAAAAAAAAAAAGGTAGATAGTCCCTGTTCTCAAGTACCATCTAGTAGGAAAAATAAAGACACAAAATATACTGTGATAAGTACCATGGTGAATGTATATATGGAGTACTAAAGAGCACATCAATTCAGGATGGAAGATCGCCTAAGGCTTTCTGATAGAAGACTGAGTCTTGGAAGAGAGATGGGAGTTAGCCAGGAGAGAAGGGAGTAAAGGGCATTATTCATTTTGCCTTCTTTTCTTCCTTTCTTTCTCCTTCCACTCACCGTCAAAGTTGTTTAAGTTGATTTTAAAGTAATCTACATCAACATTGCATCATCACCCATTTATTCCCATGTCCAATTCAATCTGGTTTCACCTCTATATTGCTACTCTGAAACTGCTCTGAAAACAGTTTCCAGTGACCTCAATTTGCCCAATATTTCTGGATTTTGAAAGTCTCTGACCATTTCTACCTTTTTAAAACTTTTGTATATTCTTAGCATATGAGTCAGCATTATTTCTCTTTTCTCTTTTATACTCAGATGACTTGCTCTTTTTTCAGTCTCCTTTGCTGGTTTCTATTCCTTCCAAGAACTTTTAGTATTCTTGTTTCTCAAGATTTTGCCTTTGATCCTTTGTTCTTTATTCCCATTGACTTGCAAATGTCTATCTCCCAGCATATCTCTCTTCCAGGACTTGACTCACTTTACCTACATCTTTATTATATATCTAACACTGGAAACAGAACAAATCAAAATCTCAACATTTTTTCCCCTCATATACCTATTTCTATCTCCATGACTGGTTTTACTCTCCATTTAATTACATTAGTTAGCTATTTGATATCATCCTTAGCAACTTCCTCTCCATGTTCTCTGAGTTTCTTTGATTTACCAGATATTATTGATTAAAAATTTAAAAAGTGGAAAAACATGTGCCACGAAAACACTACTAGAAATACTTAAGACAAAGAAATATGATCAGGAATAAAGAAGGACAAAACTTAAAGAATTCAATTCATAAAGAAGACAGAGCAATTCTAAATGTGTATATACCTAATAACAAAACTAAAAATGTAAAAAGCAAAAACGATTAGAACTAAAAGAAGAAATAGACAAATCCACAATTATAGTTAAAATTTCAACACTCAGGCCTGGCATGGTGGCACATGCCTGTAATCCTAGCACTTTAGAAGGCTGAAGTGGGTAGATCACTTGAGGCCAGGAGTTCAAGACCAGCCTGGCCAACATGGCAAAACCTCATCTCTACTAAAAATACAAAAATTAGCCGGCGTGGTGGCACATTCCTGTAACCCCAGTCACTTGGGAGGCTGAAGCACAAGAATCACTTGAACCAGGGAGGTGGAGGTTGCAGTGAGCCAAGATCATGCAACTGCACTCTAGCGTGGGCAATAGAGCAAGAATCTGTCTCAAAAAAAACAAAAAAGATTTCAACGCTCCTCTCTCGGTAATTGACAAAACATGTAAACAAATAAATGAATAAGGATACAGAAAACCTGAAAAGCTCTATCAACCAACTCTACCTGATAGACATTTATAGAACACGCCACTCAATAGTAGCAGAAAATGTTTGTTTCAAGTGTACAGAAAACATTCAACAAGTCAGGCCATATCCTGGGCTATAAAATAAATGTTAACAGGCTGGGCGCAGTGGCTTATGCCTGTAATCTCAGCACTTTGGGAGGCCAAGGTGGGCAGATAGCCTGAGGTTGGGAGTTGGAGACCAGTCTGACCAATGTAGAAAAACCCTGTCTCTACTAAAAATACAAAATTAGCCAGGCATGGTGGCACATGCCTGTAATCCCAGCTACTCAGGAGGCTGAGGCAGGAGAATCACTTGAACCCGGGAGGCGGAGGTTGCAGTGGGCTGAGATCGCACCATTGCACTCCAGCCTGGGCAACAAGAGCGAAACTCCGTCTCAATAAATAAATAAATAAATGTTAACAAAATTTTTAAAACCAATATAAATTGGATTTGCTCTGTGACCTCAGGGAATTAAACTAGAAGTTAATAATAGAAAGTTACCCATAAAATTCATGAATATTTGGAAAGTAAATACAATTCTTAAAGATGCCTGGATCAAAAATAAGTGACAAAAACTTTTAAACATATTTGGAATTGAATGAAAATGGAAGCATATCATAATGTGTGGGACACAGCTAATGCAGTGCTTAGAGGGAAATGTATAACCTTGATGGCTTATAGTAGACAAGAAGAAGGGTCATGAACTAAGCTTCTACTTTAAGAAGCTAGAAAAAAAAATATTGAACCCTAGAGCAAGAATAAGGAATAAAACATAAAGAAAAGAGTAATAACTCAATGAAATTTTTTTAAAAAGAGAAAAACAATGAAATAGAAAAAGAGAAAAGCAATAAAGAAAAACCAATGAAACCAAAAACTGATTCTTTGTTAGGGGGAACTCCAAAAGTTCACTGCTCCACATAAACTATGAAAAAACTAACAAAAACTCTCAGTATTAACTCTTTCAGAACTCTGGAAACTAACCAAAAGCTTACAGCAACCCAGGAACACTTATTTAAGAAAATAGGCTGAATCTCAGCTGGGCGTGGTGGCTCATACCTGTAATCCCAACACTTGGGGAGGCGGAGGCGGGCGGATCACGAGGTCAGGAGTTTGAGACCAGCCTGGCCAACATGGTAAAACCTCGTCTCTACTAAATAGTCAAAAAATTAGCCGGGTGTGGTGGTGGGCACTTGTAGTCCCAGCTATTCGGGAGACTGAGGCAGGAGAATTGCTTGAACCTGGGAGGCGGAGGTTGCAGTGAATTGAGATCACGCCACTGCACTCCAGCCTGGGCGACAGAGCGAGACTCTGTCTCAAAAAAGAAAAAAAAAAGAAAGAAAGAAAATAGGCTGAATCTCTAAGAACAGCAAACTTTCTGGCATTTTAACTAACCCTAGGCCCATCCCCTGCTCCTCAACTCAGGGATATCCTTGAAAATAACAGCCAACATTCCTACAACTAGTTCTGAGGGAGAAGAGACCTCATTTTTATAGAATAGTAATTATTACTATAAATAAATAAATATCTGGTCTTATTTGTCTGGTGGCTTTCAGAAGACCAACTCAAAAGGCTTATCTTCACCTTGTCCCAACGCTAAAGCCATTAACCAGGGGACATTTTTCCACAAATATTTATAGGTAAATGTGTTTGTCTTTGCTCCCTGAAGTAATGGATAACAGCTGAGCAAACAATCGACTGCCCAAGAAGCTTGAGAGAAAAGGCTGGAGAATGAGAAGCTTTGGAAGAATAAGGGCCTTGAAAAGTTCCAATATATTCTTGAGAATCTAGAAGACCATGCACATGACCAGAGCTACGCAGATGCTCAGGAAAGACTTGAGAAGGCTTTAAGCTTTCACATCTAGCCAAACTTGAAGCTCTGTACAAGCAAGATGAGAAGACTAAGGCAGGGTTGTAAACTGCCTGGCTGAGTGTTGAAGATGTACACCTGCATAAAAACAGGGCCTCTGCAGGGTGCAGTGGCTTACACCTATAATCCCAGCACTTTGAGAGGCTGAGGCAGGTGGATCACTTGAGCCCAGGAGTTCAAGACCAGCCTGGGAAACATAGTGAGGCCCCATCTCTACAAGAAAATGCAAAAAAAAAAAAAAAAAAAAAAAAAAAAAATAGCAGGGCATAGTGGTGTTGGGAAAAGGGCTTGTGGAGTGCCTGTATAAACTGACCATAAAAATATGGACAATAGGTTGTGGAAAGCCACAAAAGGCCTCTGAGGAGGAAAACCTCCTAATTGCCATCAAGTTCCCATGCTCAGAGAGAGACCAGCTGTCTTATCTGTAAACACTGTGTTCAGGGAGAAAGACACTCCTTTAAAACACTGAAATGTAGACAGACATGCAGGCTCCTAGTTAAGCCGCTCCCACTAGCTACTCTCCGATAAGTTAAAGATATGCTGTTTGAGCATAAAGGAGATTCATTTAAACCGCTATTACTATAAATTACGCCTATGACGCACTGCAACCCTTTCACTGTTTCGCCTTGAACATGTGCTTCTTAGATCTAAGTGATTGTACTCAATAAATAGTGTGGAGACCAGAGCTCTGAACTGTTTGCAGCCTCCATTTTGCAACTGGCCCCCTGGCTCCCACCTTTACAAACTCTCAACCTGTCTCTTCTCATTCAGGAAAAGGGCTTGTGGGGTGCCTGTATGAACTGGCCATAAAAATATGGGACATTAAGTTGTGGAAAGCCGCAAGAGGCCTCTGAGGAGGAAAGCCTCCTAATTGCCATCATGTTCCCATGCTCAGAACTAGACCCGCTCTCTTATCTGTAAACACTGTGTTCAGGGAGAAAGACACTCCTTTAAAACACTGAAATGTAGACAGACATGCAGGCTCCTAGTTAAGCCGCTCCCACTAGCTGCTCTCTGATAGTTAAAGATACGCTGTTTGAGCACAAAGGAGATTCATTTAAACCGCTATTACTATAAATTACGCCTATGACGCACTGCAACCCTTTCACTGTTTCGCCCTAAAAATCTGCTTCTTAAATCTAAGTAATTGTACTCAATAAATAGTATAGAGACCAGAGCTCTAAACCTTTTGCAGCCTCCATTTTGCAACTGGCCCCCTGGCTCCCACCTTTATAAACTCTTAAGCTGTCTCTTCTCATTCCTTTGTCACCACCGGACTTCGAGTACCCTACAGGTGGTGTTGAGGCTGGTCCCCAACATAGTGGCGTACACCTGTAGTCCCAGCTACTCAGGAGGCTGAAACAAGAGAATTGCTGGAGCCTGGGAGGCACAGGTTGTGGTAAGTTAAGATCATGCCACTGCATGCCAACCTGGATGATATAGCAAGACGGTGTCTCAAAATAAATAAGTAAATAAAAATAAAATAAGGCCAGGCGCGGTGGCTCGTGCCTATAATCCCAGCACTTTGGAGGCTAAGGTAGGTGGATCCCTTGAGCCCAGGAGTCTGAGACTAGCCTGGGCAATATAGTGAGACCCTGTCACCGTAAAAAATAGAAATAAAATAAAATAAAAACAGGGCCTCTCTGCAAAGACTGGGAGCTGTTTTTTTGGTTCCAGCACCTAAGGAAATCACTGTCCAATCATTTGCTGTCCAATCTCTGCCTAATTAATAAGCTAACGGAACAGAGACTTTAGTGGTCACACACAACAAATAACAGATTTAACAGAATTAGTTCAGAAAACTAAATAAACAACTACTACAATAAGCACTAACAATGAACTCTAGGAAGGAGAGATAATCTGACTTTCAGAGTTGTCATATTAGAATATTTAAAATAATTAATTTTTCAACAAAAATTTATGAAGCATTATAAAAAACAAAAAGTGTGACCCATACACAGATAAAAAAGCAATCAATTAAAAACTATGTCCATGAGGAAGCTCAGATGTTGGTCTTACTAGACATAAATTTTAAATTGGCTACTTTAAATACATCCAAAAAGCTAAAGAAAACCACGTCTAAAGGAACGAAAGACAAAGCCAAAACCGACTCAAGAAGACAAAAATGTCAGAATAGACCAGTAAAGACATTAAGTCTGTATCAAAAAAATGTCAACAAACAAAAAGCCTGGGATTAGAAGCTTTTTCCAATGAATTCAGTGAAACTGAGTGTTAAAGAAGAATTAACGTCAATCTTTCTCAAACTCTGTCAAATAAAAGAAGAAAAGAGAATACTTTCCAACTCATTTTATGAGGCCAGTATTACCCAGGTACCACAGCCAAATAATCACAAGAAAAAAAATTTCCTTGTGAATATCCTCAACTGAAAACTCACAGACCAAATCTAGCAGCACAGTAAAAGGATTACATGACATGAACATGTGGGATTTATCTCCAAAATGCAAAGTTGGTTCAATATATGAAAGTAAATCAATGTAATACACCATATTGATAGTATAAAGGGAAAAAATACAGGATCATCTCAATAGATGCAGAAAAGACATTTGACAAAATCCAACATCCTTTCATGTTAAGAATACACAACCAACTAGGAATAGAAGGGGAACTTCCTCAAACTGAAAAAGGGCACTGATGAAAAACCCACAGCTAACATCATTCTCAATGGTGAAAAACTGAAAGCTTTCCCCCTAAGCAGGAGCAAGACAAGGATGTCCGCTCCTCCACATCCATTCAATATTGTATTGGTAGTTCTGGCGGAGGCAATTAGACAAGAAAAAGAAATAAAAGTCATCCAGGTTGGAAAGGTAGAGGTGAAACAATCTTTATTGTCAGATGATACGATTTTTTTTTAATTGAGACAGGGCCTCATTCTGTCACCCAGGCTGGAGTGCAGTGGCGCAATCTTGACTCATTACAGCCTCGACATCCCGGGCTCAAGTAATCCTCTCACCTCAGCCTCCAAAGTAGCTAAGATTACAGGTGTGCACCACCATGCCCCCCTAATTTTTGTATTTTTTGTGTAGATGGAGTCTCACCATGTTGCCCAGGCTAGTCTTGAACTCCTGGACTCAAGCAATCTGCCTGCCTTTGCCTCTCAAAGTGCTGGAACTACAGGTATGAGCCACAGCATCCAGCCAAAGTTGTTTGTTTTTAGGTTTTGTTGTTGTTGTTGTTTTTTAAAATCATGGCTCACTGCAGTCTCAACCCACCTCCTCACCTCCCCACCTCCCCCAACCCTCTCCCTCTGCTTCATGTGATCCTCCCACCTCGGCCTCCCCAGTAGCTGGGTCTACAGGTATGCACCACCATGCCCGACTAATTTTCGTATTTTTTGTAGAGATGTAGTTTTGCCATGTTGCCCAGGGAGGTCTCAAACTCCTGGGCTCAAGTGATCCACCTGCCTCAACTTCCCAAAGTGCTGGGATTACAAGTGTGAACCACCAAACCCAGCCAACATGATCTTATATATAGAAAACTCTAAAGAATCTACACACACTCTCAAAAAGCTTTTAGAGCCAAAGAATAAGTTTAGCAAAGTTGAAAGATACAAGGCCCTTATATAAAAATTAATTGTATTTCTATACACTAACAATGAACAATCCAAAACTGAAATTAAGAAAATAATTCTACTTACAACACTGTCAAAAATAATAAAGTATTTGGAAATAAATTTATTTATTTATTTTATTTATTTTTGAGACAGAGTCTTGCTCTGTCATCCAGGCTGGAGTGCAGTGGTACAATCTGAGCTCACTGCAATCTCTTCCTCCTAGGTTCAAGCGATTCTCCTGCCTCAGCTTCCCAAGTAGCTGGGACTACAGGCGTGCACCACCACACCTGGCTAATGGGAATAAATTTAACAAAGGAAATGTAATGCTCGTACACCTAAAACAATAAAATATTGAGAGAAAGTCATTAAGATGGCAATACTCCCCAAATTGAATACAAATTCAGTGCAATCCCTATTAAAATTTCAACTTTTTTTTTTAACAGAAAGGAACAAGTTGATCTTAAAATTCATATGGAAATGCAAAGGACTCTGAATAGCAAAACAATGTTAATAAAGATTGGAGAATTCACATGTCCTGATTTCAAAACTCACTACAAATCTACAGTAATCAAGGCAGTGTGATACTGGTATAAAGGTAACTGTATAGATAATGGCATAGAGTTGTGAGTTCAGACATATATCCATATGTTTACAGTCAAGCGATTTTCAACAAAAAGCAATCAATAGGAAGGAGAGATGGGGAGAGCAGAGAAATAGTCTTCAACAAATGGTGCTGGGAAAACTAGATATTCACATGTAAAATAATGAATTTAGACCCCTCCTAACACCACATACTAAAATTAACTCAAAATAGACTAAAGATGGAAATGTAAGAGGTAAAAGCATAAAGCTCTTAGAAGGAAACATAAGTGTGTATCTTCATGGCCTTGTAACAGGAAATGGTTTGCTATGACACCAAAAAGCACAAGCAGGCAAAGTAAAAATAGATAAGATGGAATTCATCAAAATTAAAAGCTTTTGTGTGTCAAAGAACACTATCAAAGTGAAAAGAGAATCTACAGAATGGGAGAAAATATATGCAAATCATGTATCTGACTAGAGTCTAGTATCCAGAATATATAAAGAACTCTTTCAACCCAACAATAGAAGGATAAATAACTCAATTTTAAAATAGGCAAATGATCTGAAAATGTTTCTCCAAAGAATCCATACCCATGGCCAATAAGCACATGAAAAGATGTAGCATTAGTCATCAGGGAAATGCACATCAAAACCACAATGACCTACAAATTCACATTCATTAGGATGGTGTTATGGGCTGAACTGTGTCCCTGCAGAATTCATATACTGAGAAGTTCTGCCTGCAGTACCTCGGAATGTGATTGTATTTAAAGATAGAGCCTTTAAAGAGGCAATCAAGGTAAAATGAAATTATATGGATGAGCCCTATCCAATATGACTTATGTCCTTACAAGAAGAGGAAACTAGAACACAGAGGAAAGACCATTTGAAGACAAAGATGATAGGCATCTATGGGCATGTTGTATCCCAATTAGTATTAGTAAGTTAGTATTAGTAAATTTAAAAGCCAGGAAGAGAAGCCCTCAGAAGAAAACAACTCTGCTGACACCTTGATCTTGAACTTCTTTTTTTTTTTTTTTTTTTTTTTTGAGATGGACTCTCACACTGTCACCCAGGCTGGAGTGCAGTGGCACCATCTTGGCTCACTGCAATCTCCACCTCGCGGGTTCAAGCGATTCTCCTGCCTCAGCCTCCTGAGTAGCTGGGATTACAGGCGCTCACCACAATGTGCAGCTAATTTCTTTTTTCTTTTTTTTTTTTCTCCCTCTGTCGCCCAGGCTGGAGTGCAGTGGCCCTATCTGATGAGTTCACTGCAACCTCCACTTCCCGGGTTCAAGCGATTCTCCTGCCTCCAAGTAGCTATGATTACAGGCGCCTGCCTCTGTGTCTCACCTGACTGACACAGCTGAGCCTAACTCTTCTCCTAGTCAGGGCTCTCCTAGAAAGTGGCTCTCATGATAGGAATAAACTGGACACAGGTCAATCATGGAGCCACATGGGCATCTGCAGTATAAACAAGTTTCCTTTCAGAGGGACACATTGCAGATCAGGCATTTAGGTGTTAGGCGGCATTCCAGGATAAAGAAGTATCCCATGAAAGGCATACTGTAAATATCCATGACCAAATCTCTTGGCTTTCCACCAGGACAGGGCTAGAATTCATAGCCACTCTACAGAGACAACCTCAAGACCAAATTAGAGGAAAATACATCAAATCCAGATTTAGCAGAAATGGATGCTTTGTCACTCAGGTGAGTTTTTGATACATTTGGACCTAAAAGCTACTCCACAGCCTCAATGACACTAATCTTTGTTAACAGGCAACATGCTCGCTCTAAGCTCTTTTTTTTTTTTTTTTTTTTTGAGATGGAGTCTCACTCTGTTGCCTAGGCTGGCATGCAGTGGTGTAATCTTGGCTCACTGCAACCTCCGCCTCCCGGGTTCAAGTGATTCTTCTGCCTCAGCCTCCCAAGTAGCTGGGACTACAGGCATGCACCACCAAACCCAGCTAATTTTTGTATTTTTAGTAGAGACGGGGTTTCTCCATGTTGGCCAGGCTTGTCTCGAACTCCTGACCTCATGATCCGCCCACCTCGGCCTCCCGAAGTGCTGGGATTACAAGCATGAGCCACTGCACCTGGCCCAAGCATGCAGTTTTAAAACATAGGCTTACTAGTCAAACAAGTTTTATCTCCTAGATGGTTAAGGTCACAAAACTATAAATCCAACCTAGGAGCCGAATGCATGATGAAAATAAATTGGTTAATGCATGTCATTAATGAAAGGAAAAACAGAGGGAAAAATCATACTTAACTTTTTCATTTCTTTGCTTCTGTGATATTTTTGATACTTGCCTGACTTGTTAAAAAGTAACTTCAGATGATGGCCAGCCTTGTTTGCCATGAGCAATTCAAACATAATTGTTAAGAATGAGTAAGTTAGGCTAATGTAATAATTACAGAATTCTTTTTCATAACTTGAAATCTTAGCTATATTATATAAGAGATAGAGATCCATGAAATGTCTGAGTCATTTCTGAGTAAGTTAAAATACTGAAACATTAATTGTTGAACTTAATTTAAAAATATATATTGGCATCTTGTTTTTGTACAGTATAAAGAAGCTAAATATATTTGGATCTGTTAATTAACATGGAAAATGGAGGAAATATATTTCTAGAAATTATGAAATGGTGAATGCTGATATAAGACAGTTTACAACTGTTAAATGAAAATTATAGAAGGCCATGGGAAGTTGATGACTTCATGCTTTGGACAGCTTTTCCCAAGATATCAGAACAGACTCCCCATCGTAATGAGACTCTTCCCTCTCTTAATTTTTCTTTGCTTATACCTACCTCTTTCACTTGGCAGGATAATGCTGTAATTAGAATTTCACAGTCAGTAGCTTCTGCAGGCAACTTGAAGTGTTGGATCCATCATGTCAAACCTGAATCTTTACATGGCTTTCAAGATCCATTAGTTCACCCATTGGCTAACTTTAGCAACATCCCTAATGCCACTGTTTTTTTTCAAATTGTACTTATGGTCTCTTTTATAGAGTTAAACTTCTAGATCCACTTGTTCTCATTCCCTGTTTTAATTTAACCCCGTCATGGGATGCTAGATTATCTGCTAACTGAATAGGATGAGTCTGTGCAGTTGCTGACATTTCTTGTTGCACATGGATAAATACATCAGATATTGTAGAGCCTCATTTGCAAAAATTAACAAACAGGCTACTTGGTTAAAATGAGTAGACTCCTCATCTGGCTCTCTCTGTGATCTAATCAATTTTAATTGGTTTGGTTCATGGGGATCCTGGCTCAAGAGTATACTCCAAACTTTTGGATTACCCTTCTGATAGTCATAACAGAAGTCTCTCTGGTATGCTGTATTCTCTCAAAAGCTTTAAATGTGGCCGGGCGCGGTGGCTCACGCCTGTAATCCCAGCACTTTGGGAGGCCGAGGCGGGCGGATCACGAGGTCAGGAGATCGAGACCATCCTGGCTAACACGGTGAAACCCCGTCTCTACTAAAAATACAAAAAATTAGCCGGGCGAGGTGGCGGGCGCCTGTAGTCCCAGCTACTCGGGAGGCTGAGGCAGGAGAATGGCGTGAACCCCAGGGGGCGGAGCCTGCAGTGAGCCGAGATTGCGCCACTGCACTCCAGCCTGGGCGACAGCGAGACTCCGTCTCAAAAAAAAAAAAAAAAAAAAAAAAAAAAAAAAAAAAAAAGCTTTAAATGTTTGCATGCAGTCATCCATCAAATGTCAAATAATCTCTCTTTGGCTGGAACAAAGAAATGTATTATCATGAGGACATTGTAACCTATGAATGGTGTATTGAGACTGGAAACCCAGAGTGGTGGTAACTGAGAGTAGCGCTAACACTCTCAGAGTTTTGGTCACACTCCCACCTAGGAGAGAGCCTGACCAAAAAGGGAAGAATTGTTGAACAAGATTATGAAAGGTCGTTGTTTGAACTGAGCTCCTGCAATGGGCCCAAAACAAACCAAACCAAAATGGAGTCACTCATCCTAAACGCCACCTAACCAAACTGAAAGTTTAAGGAAGTAGATAGGTTCCAAATAATACCAGTTTCTTTTCTGAAAACAAGAGATTCTAGTCTAACTGAGTCATCGTAAGGAAGTCTCTTCTGCATTATCCTTTACAAAAAAGTAACCCAATGTTAACCAATTAGGTTTTTTTTGTTGTTGTTGTTGTTGTTTTTGTTTTTTTTTCCCGAGATGGAGTTTCACTCTTGTTGCCCAGGCTGGAGTACAAGGGCGTGATCTCAGCTCACTGCAACCTCCACCTCCCAGGTTCAGGCGATTCTCCTGTCTCAGCCTCCCGAGTAGCTGGGATTATAGGTGTGCACCACCATGCCCAGATAATTTTTGCATTTTTAGTAGACAAGGGGTTTCACCATGTTGGCCAGGCTGGTCTCGAACTCCTGACCTCAGGTGATCTACCCACGCCGGCCTCCCAAAATGCTGGGATTACAGGCCAGGTTTTCTTTTTTTTTTTCTATTGTTCTGTTTCATTGCTCCCATCTTCCAAAACCCATTTTTCTGTTATTAGCCAATGGAAGTTCTTTTCTTTCTTTTCTTTTCTATTTTTTTCTCTCTTTTTTTTTTTGAGACGGAGTCTTGCTCTGTCACCCCAGCTGGAGTGCAATGGCACTATCTCAGCTCACTGCAACCTCCGCCTCCCGGGTTCAAGTGGTTCTTCTGCCTCAGCCTCTTGAGTAGCTGGGACTACAGGCGTGTGCCACTACGCCCAACTAATTTTTGTATTTTTTGTAGAGACAGGGTTTCACCATGTTGGTTGGTCAGGATGGTCTCAATCTCTTGACCTCATGATCCGCCTGCCTTGGCCTCCCAAATTGCTGGGATTACAGGCGTGAGCCACCATGTCTGGCCGGAAGTTCTAATTCTATTTTGTGGAATGGAGGCTGTCCAGTATAATTAATCACAAATAAAAGGCAATTAATGTATAACTAAATTAAATATATTAAATATTAATATAACAACAATAATATCATCTTTTTTTGTCTTTGTCAATTGAAGTCATTGACAGATCTGAGCTTCTGACCAGAATAACAAATCTTACTATATTAAACTTATATATTATCAGTCAAAAACAAAAACACAAGGTTTTGGTGAACTTTCGCTTTATGGCTGTGAATTTTTCTTCAATTTCTATTAGATTTTTTTCAAAATATTATAATAGCTCAAAGAGTCCCTTAAATCATTTTTTTAACCTCCAGTATTCCAGACACCCAAGGTTTAGATATCAATAAACAAAACATTCATTAAAAGGAACAAAAGGATACATACCTTGCTCCTTGATGTTAATCATCCTTAAGAACATACACTACTTCCAGATCAATATCTAGCTTTGGCATGGGCAGAGGCAGAATACGTGACCACCAAATAGCCATTTATTTATTCATTATTTAACAAACAATAGACATGGTTTCTCTCCTCAAATGGATATCAGACAATCACAGAAAGCACTTTTGCTCATTCTTACATGCAGCTCTCTCATTTCTCCTCTGACTTTCCATTGCTCAGCCTCTTCATTCTTTCCTGGGTCTAAGGAGCCCCTTAGATTGGCTCTTGCTTCTTAATACCTTTCGAGAAAAACCATTTTAGGAACCCTAAAACAAACCAGGCCAGGCAGTAAGGTCATCTGCTAGAGATGAGCTCAATTACATAACATCCACAAGTCTCTGTAGTGTAAGTTCTCACAAATCTGCAAAGCCCTATTCTGGGGCTGAGAGGTAGAAATAAGAAAGGGTTGGCCAGGTGCAGTGGCTCACGCCTGTAATCCCAGCACTTTGGGAGGCTGAGGCAGGCATATCACGAGGTCAGGAGTTTGAGATCAGCCGACATGGTGAAACCCCATCTCTATTAAAAATACAAAAATTAGCTGGATGTGGTGGCACACGCCTGTAGTCCCAGCTACTCAGGAGGCTGAGGCAGGAGAATCGCTTGAACCAGGGAGGCGGAGGTTGCAGTGAGCCAAGACTGCACCACTGCATTCCAGCCTGGGTGACAAAAAAAAAAAAAGAGGGATTTAGGGATGGAGGAAAGAGAAGGGCTAACTTAAATTTTATATCCTGACTACCAAATTCCTATCACTGTTCTTCTGTTTTAAAAGCCTGGACATCAAAAGTTCTTAGTCTACACATGTTAGAGAAAGAAATTAGAAATTCTAGCAAGGGCTAAGTGCTATGATGTTTTCATCAAGGACCACTGCAGAACACATACTCATGGAGTACTCTATCAGCGTTATAGACTGACTTACTGATGACTATAAGACCATTGGTTAAATCTGCCCTGCTTCAAATTAAATCTATAATTTGCTACCACTTCAGCAAGCCTAGATATAATATTCAGCTGGAAAAATAAGAAATAGTACCAAAAAGAAAGAAAGAATTCCACAACCATAAAAAATTAGGAAACTACCATACCAGACTATAAGGTTCTGTACGGGAAAAACTATGTCACCATGACAACCTGGGATATTTTTACTGAAAGAGTTGGTAGGTTATACAGAAACATTTTCCAGGATTTGGAGGCTGAGAGCAAAGTACAAGTACATGTGTGGGAGTTGAGAGACATTCTGAATGGGCTTTTCATCCTTATTTTTTAGCTTTTCCTCGCAATCTATATTTTGCCAAATTCTGTTTTATAAGAGGTACTATGGGTTTGACTTTGTCCCCTCCAAAACTCATGCTGAAATTTGATTCCCATGGCTGGGCATGGTGGCTCACAAATCCCAGCACTTTGGGAGACCAAGGCAGGTGGATGGCTTGAGCTCAGGAGTTTGAGACCCACCTGGGCAACATGGTGAAATCCATTCTCTACAAAAAATACAATTAGCATGGCGTGGTGGTGTATGCCTATAGTCCCAGCTACTTGAGGGGCTGAAGCAAGAAAATCACTTGAGCCCAGGAGGTGGAGGTTGCAGTGAGCCAAGATCATGCCATTTCACTGCAGCCTGGGCAACGGGAGTGAAACGCTGTCTCAAAAAATAAATAATTAATTAAGAAATAAAAAAAAAGAGAAAAGAAATTCGATTCCCAATGTGGTGGTATTAGAAGGTGGGTCCCAGTGGGAGGTGTTTGGGTTATGGGGGCAGATCCTTCATGAATGGCTTGGTGCAGTTCTTGCAGTAGTAAGTGAGTTCTCAGTCTTACAAGACTGGATTAATTTTTGTGGGACGGTCCCATGGGAGTGAATTGCTGTAAAGCCAGTATGCCCCTCAGATTTTGCCATATTCCCTTCCCCTTTGACCTTCTCTGCCATGTCTTGAGCCAACATAAAAGCCCTCACCACAAGCTGAGCAGATGCTGGGGTGCCATGCTTTTTGAACTTAGCCTGCAGAACTGTGAGCTAAATAAACCTCTATTCCTTAAAAACTACCCCATAGGTATTCTGTTACAGCAACACAAAACAGACTAAGACAGAAGAAAAGGGCAAAGTAATTTTTATACCCCAGAATTATATATACATGTTATCAGCATGTATGTATGATTATGTAACTACTAATTAGGGAGATTTTTAACAAAGGATATTCATTTTCCTGATGGACAGGAAGATTAACATCAATCTTCCAAAGGAGTATGCTAATGTACAATAACCAAAATAGATACTTTTTTAGAAAAATCTGAAAGTATCAGATAGATACTTCTCTTATGTATTGAATCTATATGATATTAGTTCTCATTTTATATAATTTTTGTCTTCTGTTTTTAATTTTTCTCTGTACTATTTTCCAAAGGAACAGAACAGCACAAAATTCTGTTATATGTATATTATCCACTCAGTATATGCTACTTTATTTTTCTTTTTTTTTTTGAGACGTTGTCTCACTTTGTCACCCAGGCTGGAGTGCAGTGGCGCGATCTCGGCTCACTGCAAGCTCCACCTCTTGGGTTCACGCCATTCTCCTGCCTCAGCCTCCCAAGTAGATGAGACTACAGGCATGTGCCACCATGCCCGGCTAATTTTGTGTTTTTAGCAGAGATGGGGTTTCTCCATTTTGGTCAGGCTGGTCTCAAACTCACGACCTCAGGTGATCCACACGCCTTGCCCTCCCAAAGTGCTAGGATTACAGGCATGAGCCACCGCCCCTGGCTATGCTACTTTATTAATCAAGTTTATGTGATGAAAAAATTTGCATATAAATGTAATGAAAAAACAAAATATTTCTGCCCCTCTGTATCTTTTGACAGGTACTTTACATCTATCATTTTATTTATCTTCATTTTTATTTATTTATTTATTTATTTTGAGACAGAGTCTTACTCTGTCGCCAGGCTGGAGTGCAGTGGCGCAATCTCGGCTCATTGCAACCTCCATCTCCCGGGTTCAAGCAATTCTCCTTCCTCAGCCTCCCGAGTAGCTGGGACTACAGGCACATACCACCACGCCTGGCTAACTTTTGTATTTTTAGTAGAGACAGGGTTTCACCATGTTGGCCATTATGGTCTTGATCTCTTGACCTTGTGATCTGCCCGCCTTGACTTCCCAAAGTGCTGGGATTACAGGAGTGAGCCACTGCGCCCAGCCATCTTCATAATATTTTATAAGTACTATTATCCCCATTTTGCAGATAACTGTGACCAAAGAGGTGATATGTTTGCCCAATGCCACAACTGAGAAGTGTCAGGGTATGTGTTAAAACCCATGTCTATTTGATTCAAGCGTCTTCCAGCCAGCTGCAGTGGCTCACACCTGTAATCCCAGCACTTTAGGAGGTTGAGGTGGAAGGCATGAGCCCAGGAGTTCAAGACCAGCCTGGGCAATATAGCAAGACACTGTCTCTACAAAAAATAGAAAATTAGCCAAGCATGGTGGTGCTCAGCTACTTGGGAGGTTGAAACAGGAAGAACACTTTAGCCTAAAAGGTTAAGGCTGCAGTGAGCTGAGATCCCACCACTGGCACTCCAGCTTTGAGACTCTGTCTCAAAAAAGAAAAAAAAAAGTTTTCCCATTTTACTGTGCTACACTACATCTCAATAATTCTTGAGGAACAGACTTTCAGCTTATAAAGATATTTTTTCTGAATATTACATAATACTGTATATTTGTACTTCTAGTGAAGATACTATTTAAGCTCTTGCATTGAAGACATTCTCTGCTCAAAACACATGGCAGTGAGAGATAAAATATAAAAAGAGAAATCATAACAAAACAGAACTGGAAAACACCATCATGCTCAAAATTTGAGGCCC